>NC_000004.12:97406229-97709259 GCF_000001405.40 Homo sapiens
AATGTGCCTTCCTGGGCTGAGGTAGGCAAGCTAAATGCCACATTACCCAGACTATTCCAGCCCAGGTTGCAGGTGTCACTTTGTGCATTGTTCCCATGCGTTTACCATTATCTTATGCATTGAATTTTTAAGATCTGTGTTCATTTTATCTTTGTGGCTAGAAAGAACGTTATTGGTACATGGACTTAAGTTCACCAAATGCTGCTTACCAACATAGATCATAGCAAATCCAGGTGACTGGCTTCTTTTATTCATATAGAAAGTTTAACATTATGGTTTTCAGTTGTAACTCTCACAAGTGTTCCATGGAAAGCTTAAAACATAGATTCCAGAGCACCACTCTAAAAGTCTTACTCAGTAAGACAGGGATCTGAGAATCTGCATTTTTAATGAGCTCCTGGGTGAAGTAAATGCTCCTAATCCTAGGACTACACTTTGGTCCAGTGGTAAGAATAGTGGTTATTTTTATAAAACTTGATAATATTTGTCACAAAAACCATTTCATTTGCTCACTACAATAGCTGTTAAATTTCTAGTATTATCCCCAATAAAAAAATTAAGATTTTATGTATGAAGTATAAATCATTCTCTCTGGTCACACTGCTAATAAGTAGGAGAGCCAGTTTTCTAATTCATGTTCATTAATTCTGTGAGAGGAAAATAAAATCTTGGGACCCCATACTCACTAAGCCAAAGGGAAAAGTCAATCTGGGAGCTGCATCATGCAAAACTGTCTCTCATTTTCTTCCAAAATAGATAGCTACAAAGATAAAAGACTACATACCTGTCTCACAATTTGCTCACAATTCCTTGTGGGTCCCAGGGTCTTTTCCCTAAAACAGTTCTGTTGAATTTCACCCTGACAATGTAAGTTAACAGCTTATTTTCATGAGTACTGGACAAAGGACAGGACTTAGAAATCAACCCTCCCCTGCGCACAATTCACCTGAGACAAATGCATATTTGACGGCTTCTTCTGCTCTATGCTGACTTATGTAAAAATTCACTGAGTACAAGAGAAATGCGTAACTATTTTCCCACTTCCTTCTCATACATGTAAAATGTGGATTCAGTAAATGATCAAAGACTAAAAGAAATGAAACTGTTTGCCCTTTTTATCTACCTTATCTACCCTTCCTTTTTTTTTTTCCTTCTTCTTTCTCCTACTGCTTGTCCTTTCCCTTTTAATATATACATCCCAAAACCCTCTTTGGAAGAAGCACGAATCAGAGATGTTTCTTGTGGTTTTGTGTTCCTTTTATCCTGGGCACATCCTCAATCTTGACAAAATAAACCTCTAAAATGATGGAGACTCACCTCAGTCATTTTCTTTGATTTACAATTCCAAACTCTATTCTTTTCCTTGATTCCATACTGCCACTGCACTCTCTTAGAGCTTGAATATAATATATAGCAAATAATTCATTGTTAAAATTAGTTTGATTTATTTCCATCATGAAGATCAGAAATAAAATTTTCTTATCATAAAGTAGATTTATTTAATAATTTTTGGTTATACTAATTTGATATCAAATGAGTGAAGAATAAAAAACAGTTCTATATGACTTTGATCAAATCAAAAATCTTACAGAAGAAAAGGGAGGGTGGAATGAAACAGGAAGCATATATTCACATCTCCCTGATAATCCAGAAAAAACTAGAAAGTTGAATACATGAGTCAAGACCATTTTGGTTGCATATGACAGAAATCTAATCAGTTTAAGCAAAAAACGAAGTTAAGGAGGTTGAGCTTCATTTAAGGTTGTATCTAGGTGCTTAAACAATCCTGTTAATCTTTTCATTTTTTCTTCCACTGTCAGTAATTTATTTCTCTGATATGAACTATTCTCACATAAGCTATATTCTCATGGTGGCCAGAGGGTCACCAGTAGCTCCAGGGATGAATCTTAGTAGTTAATAAACCCCCTGAGAGAGATAGTCTTTCCTCATAGTTTCTGTAAAAGTTGTCAGGCTCACCTCTATTTGCTCTGATTAGCTCAATTTGAGTCATATATCTGCCTAAGAACCAATTATTGTGACACTTTAGAGTGCAGAATACCCAAATGAGACACGAAGACTGAAAATGATGTTGATGGTAAGAGTCAAACTTTGTAAAATATTTGAAGAGATTTATTCTGAGCCAAATATGAGTGACCATGACCCATGACACAGCTCAGGAGATCCTGAGTGCATTCATCCAGTCTAGAAAGGTGGGACAATTTGAAGTGGGAGGATAGGGTGAGGGAGGGTTCCAGGTTATACTTAGAGGTAGATTCAAAATTTTCCTCATTGGCAATTGGTTGAAAGAGTTATTGTCAACAGAAAGGAATGGAAAGGAATGTCTGGGTTATGATAAAAGGTTGTGGAAACCAAAGTTTTATTACTCAGATGAAGCCTCCAGGTAGCACACTTCAGAGAAATAGATTGTAAATATATATACATTTTTTATCAGATTTAAGGTCTGTGTTGATGTTAATGCTAGAGGGTAAATGAGGCATGTCTAACCCCCCCTCATTTCCCATCATGGCCTGAACCAGCTTTCAGGTTAAATTTTAGAGTGCCCTGGCCCAGGAGAAAGTCCATTCAGATGGTTGGGGGATCCTAAGAATTTTATTTTTGGTTTGGATTTGTTAATGGGTAATTTTTTAAATGGGGCACTATTACCAAAAGTCAGGAAGTTTTCCAAAGTAGGCAATAGCAAAAGATGTCTAACAGACCACTAATTATTTGGATATAAATTACAGGAAAGTCAATATGAATCTCCATATAAGGAAACATTATGTTGGTTTAGGAGTTTGAAGAAAGTAATCGTGCATGTGGATGAAAGTATGCTGATCAAATGTTTTTTGAAGAGGCTTCCATGAGGGCAATGAATTGTAGTCATTTCAAGGCTACAATGATTATGTTTTTCTAAGAGATTAAAAACAAAAAAAAAAAGCCTAAGTAGAAATAAAAGGGCACACCTATGAAAAGAAAATTGCTAATATTGATGTTTTTCAGGTATCAGAATTGTTATTGGTTTTTGTGGTAGGCTGTGTTATGTTCCAAATTATTTTCTGCCTCCTCCCCTGTTGGAAGATTAAACATTTCTACATTCATCATGTGACTTTCAGTGCCTTTCTATGGAAGGAATATACTTCCCAATCTCTTACACCATACTTGTTCAAATGATTTGCTCTAACCAAAGGAATGTGAGTAGAAGAAATAGTATGTCAGTTGTGTGCAGAAGCTGCAAGGTACACTGTTGGTTTTGGATTGGTCTCCTTTCCTCTGTCACAAAGATAGCACATTCTCAATAAGGCCTTTAGGCTCCATTTTCAGTCTGGATTCTGGAATAAGGAAAAAATGTGTGGCAGGAGCTGCTGAAATACAGCTAATATAAAAGGAAAACAAAAAATGATAAAACAACAAAAAAAGTCTTTTTTCTTTAAAGCTATTTGAAATTTTGAGAAGAGATCATTTGGTATAGCAACCTAATGAAGAAAAAAACAACTGACACGATGTTATGTAAATTTTGTTAAATGACCTGGAAAAAGGGCTGCATAGTTTTCCATTCAATTTGCAGATAACACTAGGCCATTTTGAATAATGAAATAAAAACAAGAAAATTACCTGAGCCAAGTCTCAAGCATTATGCTAAGAGTGTTTCCTACTTTATTTTCAGTGTCTTATTTAATCCTCTCCAAAATTCCATTAAAACATTATTAATTTCTTTATAGATACAGAAACTCACCCAGAATTATATCTACTGCCAGACAGATTAAAATCTTGCCTTCAAGTGCCTGGCTTTCAAGAATTTATGAATTTTGGAGTGAATAGATAATGCATAACATATGTACTAAGTGGTAACCCTCAAAATGGTAATGGAACTATGGACTCTAAAAATGCAGAAATTACTCTAAAAGGCATAGAAAAGAGCATCTTTCCTAAGACACCTGAGTGAAATCAAAGAGAACACTATAGACATGAGAAGTGAAATCTGAAAGGAGATACAATTAAAATCTAAAAAGTCATGTGGACTGTAAAAAAATAAAAGTCTCAAATATAAATTTAACTGTAATCAGTTATGGTCTCCTGTTATATCAATACATTTAATTTAGAGTTAATAAAATTATGTTATGATTAGAATTATGTCTCCCCTCCTCAAATTCATAGCTGAAGTCTTAATTTCTACTACCTCAGAATGTGACCTTATTTAGAAATAGGGTTGTTGCAGATGTAATTAGTTAATTTAAGATGAGGTCGTATTGGAGTAAGGGGGGTCCCTAATCCATTATGTTGGATGTTTTTATATATAGGAGAAATCTGGACACAGGCATGCACACAGGGAGAACACCATGTAAAGATGAAGACAGAGATCAGGGTGATGGAGAAGAAACTCAGAAACTTCAAAGATTGCAGACAAACCACTAGCAGCTAGGAGACAGGCCTGGAGGAAGCCTCCTTCATAGGCCTCTGAAGGAACCAACTCTGTCAGCAACTTGATCTGGGTTTTCTAGTCTCTAGATCATGAGACAACACTTTCTGTTGTTTAAGACACTTAGTTTGTGGTATTTTGTTACAGCAGCCTTAGCTAACAAATATAAATGGATCATTAACTTAGAAAATATATTGTAAATGTAAAGAACACATATCACTTTGTAGTGATAATAACTTAATAGAATAAAAATAAGTTTGTATAAATTCATAAATCATAAAGCTATAATGAGCTGCAAAGGACAACTGCAATATTACTGTTCATGCTTTCAGTCTTTGAAGAAAATTTCAGGGAGGAAAACCTGAAAGAATGAAAATATTTTATTTTATTTTATTTTATTTTATTTTAAACGAATAAACATTGGAGATTGCTTCAATAATTACATATTAAGCTATAATAATTTTCTAGACTTAATTTTTAGAATTTGCCAAGACTGTCTAGTATCTCCTTGTAAATTTTTAGTTATAAAATGTTAGTATAGTGGGAAGGGCAGAAGTATTTTGGCCTCATGTAGGAATAATATACGTTTTTATACCCTCCAGCCTTCAGCTAAAAATGGTGCCCTGACGGGAGGAGAGAGTTAATTCACATCCCAGATGCTTAACTTACTCCCTGAGAGTAGATTACTCATTGGCAGGACTCGGTAATTCTTCATTTTAACCATTACCATAGCATTTTGTATTGTCAAATGCTATGTGGTTTTGCAAGCCTTAAAATCCCTTGGTGAAGTAAAGGAGATGACAAACAAAATTATGTCTGATTTACAGACTGGGGACCTGGGACTCAGTCAAGAGACAAAGCCATCATTGGTAAGGGCCAACGCAGAAGGCAGGAGCTCTGGCTCAGGTCTCTGTTTATCATTTGGAGTGCAGGAAAAAAACCTAAGGGATATCAGCTATTCACGCACATTCTTACATTTCTTGGAACTTTAGATCCCCACCCAAGCTGATTCTTGGCAGCAGCCATCTGTCAAAAAAAAAACTAAAGCCACAAAGAAAGTTAAGTACAAATTGCGTACAGTGTGTTAGAATTTTAGCTATTCAGGGTTAGAGATGTCTACAAAAGTAAAATAAAATACATTGTAACTTAAAATTGACTCTCCTAAACTATGTCACAAAGACTAAGGGCAAATATTCTTTACTCTTTGCCACTATTTTCACAAGTTAATCCAGTTAAAAGCATCAATGGAGGGGCCAGGAGTTGCTTAGAAAAAATTTAAAGAACAAATTTTCTGTTACTTAATATAATCTCACCTAAATCCATATGAATTTGAAAAAAATTAATATATCTACCTTGTCACTTAATTATGAGATCAAACTGC
Organism: Homo sapiens; assembly: GCF_000001405.40. Lineage (NCBI taxonomy): Eukaryota > Metazoa > Chordata > Mammalia > Primates > Hominidae > Homo > Homo sapiens. The sequence continues at coordinate 97,412,028 of NC_000004.12, forward strand.
CACTTGGCATTTATTCCACCAAGCATATTTTACCTACTATCACAGCTATAAACTCAGCATTTGTCAAGTTGTTGCTTATAAAACAATGCTGGGCTTTTTGCTGTGAGTGTTTTGAGGGAATACGCTCATATTTCAGCCTGCAACCCAGGATTCCAGTTTTTGAAAACTGATAAAAATTTCAAAATGAAATATCTAAAAAAGAGTTATTTAGCAGAAATCAACATTTGGCTCTCAACTGGAATTGGGCATTAGACTACAAGGTCAGGGATGGCTGGCTAGTTCTCAAATTCCTGAAGTTGAATGTTGGATATTTCATGTCTGTTTTCAGCTGACTTCTAAGATACAAGCAGCCAAAATAGATATGACTTTATGTAATTTAATGTTTACCTCCTTTGATTTTATAAAGTTTAAAATGTTCTAACCCATTTTCCGGCTGCCAAGCAGACATCCAGTGTGACCCTGGTGTCCCATTGATTCTAAAATCAATGATTGTGCTGCCAGTGCTTAGAGAGCATGATTGCACTTTCAAGGCAAGCTGCTGTGTAGATGTGGCCTCTTTGAGTTGGACCAGGTTTTACTACAGTGAGGTAGAAGAGTTTAGAATCAGTGTGATAACCTATTTAAATTGATGTCATTCAGGTCTAGGATTCTACTGGCAAAAAGACCAATAGAAATTATTTTTGGGGGAGTAACAAGTGTGGAAACAGCTGCCACAAATCTATGACAGAGAATACGCCAATGTTATTTTAGTAAGTTTACAATTTAATAAAATAAATGCAATAATTAGACCTAATTGTTTGATCCAAATCACTGCTTTTAAATCAATTATAGAATTTTTTTTATTTGGTGGCAGCTCTTAGTATCTACTGAGCTAAATAACTTTCTGAAAGAACAAGCAAATTGATTACCATCATATGCTATTATATGTAATAAAAGGGGAAGAGTCCTCAAATGTTCTTTTACTTGGATTTTAAGATAAAATCACACCCATTGCAAATGTTTGGCAAGAAGCTTCTACTTTAAGGAGAAACTAAACTTTAAAAGAATGTAAATGATCAATTTTGCATTTTTTTTTGAATTTTTTTTTTCTTTTTTTTTTCTGTTTGGCCAGCCACCTTGACCTTACAGCCTAAGGCCCAAAATTTCAGTTGAGACTCAAAGGTTGACTAATAACATTAAATTCACTATTTTAACGTTTTTAAAGTGTACAACTCAGTGGCATTTTGTATATTCACCATGTTGAACAACGATTTTCACTATCCATTTCCAGAACACTTTCGTCACCCCAAAATAAATCCTGTATCCATTATGTAATCACTTCTCTTTCCTCCTTATCCCCAAACCCTGGAAATCATTCATCTGTTTTCTATCTCAATGGATTTGCCTAATCTAGCTGTTTCATATAAATTGAATCATACAATATGTGACCTTTTGTGTCTGTCTTAAACTTTTCCTTAGCATAATGTTTTCAGGGTTCATCCGTGTTATAGCATGCACCAGTGCTTCATTCCACTTTACGGTTGGATAATATTCTATTGTATGGATATACCACATTTTGTTTATCCATTCATCAGTTCATTGACATCTGTGTTGTTTCCATCTTTTGCCTGAATATGAGTATGAATATGAATACTGCTGCTAACATTCATGTAGAAAATCAAATTGTTACAAAATTCTCCCTGGGAGTGGCATGACCCTCTCATATCCGTCTTGAGGCCTCTTGTGGGACAAGATGAATATAATATGGGAGAAGCCATAGCTGATCTTGGAAAGATGGGAAAAGGAAGAGATAAGGTCCAACTGGTCATTAAAGAGAAAGGGAAAAGGAGAGAAATAGAGTCTGCTGGACCAAAAAAGGGAGGTAAAAAATGTGCAGTTAGAATTACTAGTAAACAAATATGGTATCATCTGATTTCTTCCTGGATAGACAAAGAAAGGATAGATCAACCAAATGCAGTATTAGTTGCCTTTGGAAAGATCCAACTCCTGATGAACAGTTTAACCTCCTTACTAGTGCCCCATCAAAAAAAAAAGAGGTAGAAGGAGCAAAAGAAACTATACCTAAAAGAACCTCAATCTCTGTGTTCCAGGGGTGTACTCCTCCTCAGATTACAGATTAGGGTTGGGGCCAAGGTTGCCTTCCTGTGTGAGCAGTAGGAGGCAACCGGAGGCCCCACGTGGCATCCAAAATCTATTGGAGTCCAAAAACAAGCAGAAAAGCTTAGCTTTAGTGGACACAGGTGAATAATGCACATTAACTTGTGCTGTGGTAGATTTAGCTAATGCCTTCTTTACCAACCCTTTATACACTGACTCACAGAACTAATTTGCTTCTCCTTGGAGTGGCCATCAATGGCCATTCCAAGTGTTGCCCCAGGGTTATCGTGGAATGTTTGCCCACTATTTGTCGTGGAATAATTGCTAGAGATTTAACTTGCAGTCCACTGCCACATGCTGTTAAATAGTTTCATTATATTGCTGATATTATGCTAACCTCCAAAGACTTGTCATTGCTACAGCAACACCTTCATGCCTTGTGTACTCTTCTCTAATCCAGAGGAGGGGCCATTGAACCACAAAAGATATATGGCCCAGGACAAGCTGTGAATTTCCTAGGGGTCACTTAGTCAGGTAAGACATGCCTTATCTCAAGCATAGTAACTGAAAAAATACAACAATTTTTCATACTTAAAATAGTTAAATAGTAACAAAGTTTCCTAGGTTTTTTGGGATACTGGTGGGCTTTCCTTCTACATTTAGCTCTATACCAACTAGTAGAACAGGGATCTAGTGGGTGCTGGAATAAAAAACATGAGGAAGCATTTGAGAAGGCTAATTTACTAGTGACTCAGGGAAAAGTCTTATTTTCCTCTCTTCCTGGAATATCAATGTCTTCAAATGGGATCATTATTCCTGAATGAACCAGATGGGCCCTCTGACAAGTCCATCATTGGGAAAGAAGTTCCCCAAGGATTTTGATCACAACTATGGAAGGAGGCTAAAATCCACTATTCCCCAACTGAGCAACAGATCCTAGGAGTACACAAGCCTTGCAGCAAGTTAAACCCACAACTGCTGCTTTACTGGTAACAGTAAAAACAGGCCTGCCTATAAAAGGGTGGATAGAAGGGTTGTTTGCCAGGTCTGCCTCAGCTATTGACCAGGCCTCCACTTTACAAAAGTGTCATGCATACCTGCAACAATATAGCTCCCTCTCCACCAGTCCCCTGGGAGATAAACCACATGCTATTTTAGGGCCAGTACACTATCAGAGCAGTACTGGTCCTACTCTGGAGCCCCCATCGTACTTCACCCAATTTTTAATAGGATTATTTGTCTTTCTGTTGTTGAGTTGTGAGGGTTCTTTATGTATTTTGGATATTATACCCTATATAAATATATGAGTTGCAAATATTTTCTCATATTATGTAGGTTGTCTTTTCACTTTCTTGATACTGTCCTTTAATGTACAAATGTTTCCATTTTTGAATAAGTCCAATTTACCTATTTTTTCTTTGGTTGCTTGTGTTTGTGGTGTCATATCTAAGACTTTCAAATCCAAGGTCATGAATGTTTATTTCTGTTTTATCTAAGAGTTTATAGGTTTAGCTCTTACACTTAGGTCTTTGTTTCATTTTTGCTTAACTTTTGTATGTTGTATGAAAAATGCTTCAATTTCATTCTTTTGCTTGAGAGTATCAAATTGTCCCAACACCAAATAGCCTCTTCTTAAAGAGACTACTTTTTCCCATTGAATTTTCTTGGCACCCTGGTCAAAAATCAATTGAGCAGGTATTGGTTTGTTCAAAGATTCTCAATTCTATTTCATTGGTCTATATGTCTGTCCTTATGTCAATACCATACTCTTTTGATTACTGTAGCTTTGTAGTAAGTTTTGAAATTAACAAATGAAGTTCTGTAAGTTTATTCTTCCTTCTCAAGATTGTTTTGGCTATTTGAAATCCCTTGCAATTCCATATGAATTTTAGAATAAGCTCTTCTATTTCTGCAAAAAATAGGTCACTGAAAGTCTGAAATGGATTATGTAAATCTGTATGTTGTTTTAGAAAATATTACTATTTTAACTATATTAAGTCTGCAAATCAATGAACACAATATATTTTTCCATTTATTTAGTCCTCTTTAATATCTTTAAGCAGTGTTTTTTAGTTGCCAATGCACAAGTCTTGTAACTTTGCAGTTAAATATATTCCTTCTATTTCATTCTTTTGGGCTATTATAAATGGAATTGTTTTCTTAATTTCCTTTTTGGATTGTTCATTGCTAGTATATAGAATTACAACTTTTTTTTGTATGTTGAACTAATGTCTTGCAACTTTGCTGAATTAATTTCATGAATCAATTTTTTATATTATAGTAACTAATCAAACACACAGTAAAGAATGGCTTAATAATTTGGGTTCAGTAGGCTAGTAGAAAAAAAAACTACTATATTTAAAAAAAAGAAATATTTTCTTATATTTTCATTTAAATTAATATTATATCTGTCACCATATATCTCTTTCACACAATAAAACTGTATTTAAGACAAACTCTCTGGCTGTGACCAAAATAATCATAATGTACACTGGCTTTCAGAATGACTATTTTTTATGTCAACAAAACATTGTTTGTCTGGTGGATAAATAATAAAGCCGCCAGACCAAACTTACGAATCATTGAAGAATTTTTTTTTAAAAAAACCTAGGAGTTAAGCAAAATATATTTGAATTAAAAGGAACAGTTTTAAAAATATATAAAGGCCTATTTTAACACTCTAAAACTTGCAGATATTTCTTGTGCAAAAAAAAGCACTTTGGTGCATGTCAGGCTGTATGCCTTCTCTGCTGATCTACTAGCAGAAACTTTATAGTATTTACACACAAGCTAAAACCAGAGCACCAGAAAATCTACCACTACAAAGAAAACAAATACATGAAATTTAGGTCCTAAAGGGTTAAGAAAATTTGATCAATAAGCAAAGATTATTTATAAAACATTTAAAATCTTAGCGATAAGAGAGAAATGGCCAAGTCACAGAAAGAATCTAGCTTGGAGCTAATTTTATGATTTAGAAAGGGTGGAAATGAGAATTTAATTCTCTAGCAATAAAGAAAAAGAATGAAGGCAGAAATAGATTGCTTCAGGGATAAGACTGATCACAAAGAAAAACTGAAGGAGCTAGATGGTTAATGGCCAAATACAGGAGACAAAAACCTGAGTAGAACCAGATTTCAAATTAAGAGCTTCATAAACACAGTAAGCGATGTATAGGGAGCTTAAACCACATAATTGTGAACATATAACATACCTTATTATAACACTGGTAGTACCTGATGTCCCTACACAGTAGTGTGAAGTAACTACGTAAAACACTTTAGTAGAGAAACGAAAGTAAAAAAGATGAAGTTTACGGCAAAAATGGCATGTTGTTTAAAATAACTTTTTGTTAAGCCTAAGTTCCCTTTAATAGTAGTAGTAAGAGGTGAGAGGTTAGTTTTTTTGTTTGTTTGTTTTTTGTTTTGTTTTGTTTTTTGGTGTTGCTATAAGCTGTTTTATCATGCCGATCTACTAGTGCTTGAAAGTACCATAAAAGTATGGTATAAACACCTCTATGTGAATAAACTAGAAAATCTAGAAGAAATGGATAAACTCCTGGACATTTACACCCTCCCAAGACTAAACCAGGAAGAAGTCAAATCCCTCAATAGACCAATAACAAGTTCTGAAATTGAGGCAGTAATTAATAGCCTACCAACCAAGAAAAGCCCAGGAGCAGATGAATTTACAGCCAAATTCTACCAGAGGTACAAAGAGGAGCTGCTACCATTCCTTCTGAAACTATTCCAATCAATAGAAAAAGAGGGACTCCTTCCTAACTCATTTTATGAGGCCAGCATCATCCTGATACCAAAACCTGGCAGAGACACAACAATAAAAGAAAATTTCAGGCCTATATCCCTGATGAACAGCAAAATCCTCAATAAAATACTGGCAAACCGAATCCAGCAGCACATCAAAAAGCTTATCCACCAGGATCAAGTCAGCTTCATCCCTGGGATGCAAGCCTAGTTCAACATATGCAAATCAATAAGAGTAATCCATCACATAAACAGAACCAATGACAAAAACCACATGATTATCTCAATAGATGGGAACATTCCCTTTGAAAACTGGCACAAGAAAAGGATGCCCTCTTTTGCCACTCCTATTCAACATAGTATTGGAAGTTCTGGCCAGGGCAATCAGGAAAGAGAGAGAAATAAACGGTATTCAAATTGGAGGAGAGGAAGTCAGATTGTCTCTGTTTGCATATGACATGATTGTATTTTTAGAAAACCCCATTGTCTCGGCCCAAAATCTCCTTAAGCTGATAAGCAATTTCAGCAGTCTCAGGATACAAAATTAATGTGCAAAAATCACAAGCATTCCTATACACCAATAATAGACAGAGAGCCAAATCATGAGTGAACTCCCATTCACAATTGCTGCAAAGACAATAAAATACCTAGGAATACAACTTACAAGGGATGTGTAGGACCTCTTCAAGGAGAACTACAAATCACTGCTCAAGGAAGTAAGGCAGGACACAAACAAATGGAAGAACATTCCATGCTCATGGATAGGAAGAATCAATATCATGAAAATGGCCATACTGCCCAAAGTAATTTATAGATTCAATGATATCTCCATCAAGCAACCCTTGACGTTCTTCACAGAATTGGAAAAAACTGCTTTAAATGTCATATGGAACCAAAAAAGAGCCTGAATAGCCAAGACAATCCCAAGCAAAAAGAACAAAGCTGAAGACATCAAGTTACCTGACTTCAAACTATACTACAAAGCTACAGTAATAAAAACAGCATGATACTAGAACCAAAACATATATACATACCAATGGAACAGAACAGAGGCCTCAGAAATAATGCCACACATCTACAACCATCTGAGCTTTGACAAACCTGACAAAAACAAGAAATGGGGAAAGGATTCCCTATTTAATAAATGGTGTCAGGAAAACTAGCTAGCCATTCACAGAAAATTGAAACTGGTCCCCTTTTTTACACCTTATACAAAAATTAACTCAGGATGGTTAAAGACTTAAATGTAGGACCTAAAACCATAAAATCCCTAGAAGAAAACCTAGGCAATACCATTCAGGACATAGGCATGGGCAAGGACTTCATGACCAAAACACCAAAAGCAATGGCAACAAAAACCAAAATTGACAAATGGGATCTAATTAAACTAAAGATCTTCTGCACAGCAAAAGAAACTGTCATCAGTGTGAACAGGCAACCTACAGAATGGGAAAAAATTTTTGCAATCTATCCATCTGACAAAGGGCTAATATCCAGAATCTACAAGGAACTTAAACAATTTTACAAGAAAAAAACAAACCACCCCATCAAAAAGTGGATGAAGGATATGAACAGACACTTCTCAAAAGAAGACATTTATGTGGCCAACAAACATGAAAAAAAGCTCACCATCACAGGTCATTACAGAAATGCAAATCAAAACTACAATGAGGTACCATCTCACGCCAGTTAGAATGGTGATCATTAAAAAGTCAGGAAACAACAGATGCTGGAGAGGATGTGGAAAAATAGGAACACTTTTACCCTGTTGGTGGGAATATAAATTAGTTCAACCATTGTGGAAGACAGTGTGGCAATTCCTCAAGGATCTAGAACTAGAAATACCATTTGACCCAGCAAACCCATTACTGGGTATATACCCAAAGGATTATAAATCATACTACAATAAAGACACAAGCACATGTATGTTTACTACAGCACTATTCACAATAGCAAAGACTTGGAACCAATCCAAATGCTCATCAATGATATACTGGATAAATAATACGTCACCATAAAAAAGGATAAGTTCATGTCCTTTGCAGGGACGTAGCTGAAGCTGGAAACCATCATTCTCAGCAAACTATCACAGGAACAGAAAACCAAACACCGCAAGTTCTCACTCAGAAGTGGGAGTTGAACAATGAGAACACAAGGACACAGGGAGGGGAACATTACACACCAGGGCCTGTTGGGAGGTGGGGGCCTAGGGGAGGGATAGCATTAGAAGAAATACCTAATGTAGATGATGGGTTGATGAGTGCAGCAAACTACCATGCCACGTGATACCTATGTAACAAACCTGCACGTTCTGCACATGTATCCCAGAAAGTAAAGTATAAAAAAAAAGAAAGTTCAGGTCAACATCCACCAATGTAGAAAATCATTTAGCACTCAAAATTTCAGAGGACATTTATACATAGAGGTGAACTCTGCCTCCAGCACAGTCAACATGGGAATAGATTGGTTATCTTAAAACTAAAAATTTAAATTAGTGGATGATTATTTCTTTCATGAAATGGTTTTTCATTTACAAAATTTTTAAATATGACATCCTTCTTCTAGTAATTGAAATGATCCCAATGTTAAAAAATTTTTCATAGATTATTAAAACATCTTTTACTGTAAGGTGAGATAAACTCAGGAGGATATTCATTCTTCCATCTAGTGGACATTGTAATGCAATCCTGAGGTTCCTTTCAATGAAGGACTTACAGCTTCAGCTGGTGGAGAGTGATGTTGACTGACAGCTTTGAACAGTCAGTGCTTTCAAAAGATTGACTCAACTGCAGAGAGCCACCTTGCACTATGTCACACACATTTGGGGATGGCCCACATCCAGTGACTGATCTATGCAAAGGTATAAAGGCCACCTATCTTAGCCCAATTCAGAGACAGACTCTGAAGGTCCAGTCTGTCTCCAGAGTGCCCCCTAGGATTGACTGAGCCTGCTGTTGAGTTTGGATTACTACTCAACTTCTGCTCAATCCTTCTTCCTCCCCCTCGGTTCTGAGTGTTGATCTCAAAGATTCTTAAAAACATTCTTCATGTTACACTGCATACCAGAGGCTATTTTCCAGAGAGCCCAACATAACATTATAGAAAATGCATCAGAGATACTAGAAGATTGAAGAAAAATGAAAAAAAAAATGAAGGACTTAGGTATTATGGAGTATAGAATTAAGGTTCAAGCTAATTAAATACAGTAGTTTAAAAAATGTATATGTATAATCTAAATGATATTCCTTTCAAATTTTTAAATTATATTACTGGAAGTAAAACAAGGTATTCCTTTTACCTCCTCCCATCTATAAGAAAATATAATTTATATACACTTTATTGTTGACAAATAAAATAAGAAATACTAATAAAATTGAAAAAAGGGAAAAAAGTGGAAAAATGAAACAAGGAAAGGGCAAAATTCTATGATCATTTTGCTGTACCAGTTCATCCATGGTTCTTTTCAATATTCACTTCTGGTCCTGTTCTATATAGAGACTCTTTTTTTCTTCTAATTTTACCAAATCGACATTGCCTACAGATTATTGTTGACATTGAATCACAAACATGTATTCTTGCCTCAGGAGCACATTGTAAAGTTTAAACATGGAATCCATTCTTATACAGCCTAAGTAGCTATATCTAAGTTTTAAGTTGTTTATGATTCATACATATTGTAGTAGTTTTCCAGGACTGCCATAACAAAGTACCACAAATTGGGTGGTGTCTTAAATGACAGAAATTTACTGTTTAGTAGTTCTGGTGGTTAGGAGTTGATCAAGATATAGACACGGTTGGTTACTTTTGAGGGCTGTTAAGGAGAATCTGTTCCATCCTCTCTCCTAGCTTCTGGCATTTTCTGGCAGTCGTCAGTGTTTCTTGTCTTCAGGAACACTAAGACACCCTGATCTCTGCCTTCATCTTCACTTGGTGTTGTCCATGTGTGTATGTTTCTGTATCCAAATTTCCCTTTTTATAAGGATGCAGTCATATTGGATTAGGACCTACTCTAATGACCACATATTAACTTAATCATCTGCAAACATATATGAAAATATTTTTTCATCTGTACAAGTTGCAAGAAGTTCTACTAACATACATACATTGAGAATAGCCTAATATTTCCAATACCATGGCTATAATATTTATATATATATATATTTTTTTTCTGATGGGCTTCATCCAAATTGCTGTAATATTTAGCCTCAGCAAAAGAAAAGGGAAAACATCTTACTTTGTTGTGCAGCATTTCTTATGTTACCAATAACCTGGCATGAGAAAATTTAACTCAACAAATGAACATACATTGACTGATTTACTGTAACATGCAAAATATTCTGCTATGTATTTTGGGTAATATGAAGATATATAAATGGAAGACTTTCCTTTTGAAAACTTTATAATATTGTGTTTATATAAACACCAAGGATAAAAAAAAAAAACAGACACACAGACCAATGGAACAGAATAGAGAGCCCAGAAATAATGCCACACCTACAACTATCTGATCTTTGACAAAGTTGAAAGAAACAAGTGATGGGGAAAGAACACCCTATTCAATAAATTGTGCTGGGACAACTGGCTAGCCATACGCAGAAGATTGAAACTGGATTCCTTTCTTATGCCATATACAAAAATCAACTCAAGATGGATTAAAGACTTAAATGTAAAACTCAAAACTATAAAAATTCTGGAAGATAACCTTGGCAATATTCTGGACATAGGAAAGGGAAAACATTTCATGATGAAGACACCAAAAAGCAATCACAACAAAAGGAAAAATTGACAAATGGGATCTAATGAAACTTAGGAGCTTCTGCACAGCAAAGAAACTATCAAGAAAGTAAACAGACAACCCATAGAACAAAAAAAAAATTTGCAAACTATGCATGTGACAAAAGTCTAATATCCAGCATCAATAAGGAACTTAAACTAATATACAAGAAAAAAATAAACTTCATTTAAAAATAGCCAAAGGACACAAACAGACGCTTTTCAAAAGAAGACATATATATGGCCAACAAGCATATGAAGAAAAGCTCAACATCAATGATCATTAGAGAAATGTAAACCAAACCACAATAAGATACCATCTCATACCAGTCAGAATGGCTATTATTAAAAGTCAAAAAATAACAAATGCTGGCAAAGCTGCAGAGAAAGAGGAATGCTTATATACTGTTGGTGGGACTGTAAATTAGTTTGACTATGTGGAAAGTGGTGTGGTGATTCCTCAAAGAGCAAGAACAGAACTACCATTCAACCCAGCAATCCCATTACTGAGTATATAACCAAAGGAATATAAATCATTCCACCATAAAGACACATGCATGTGAATGTTCATTGCAGCATTATTCACAATAGCAAAGACATGGAATCAACCTAAATGCCCATCAATGACAGATTGGATAAAGAAAATATAGTACATATACACCATGGGATACTATGCAGCCATAAAAAAGAATTGAATCATGTCTTCGCAGGAACATAGATGAAGCTGGAGGCCATTATCCTTAGCAAATCAATGCAGAAAAAGAAAACCAATTACCACATGTTCTCACTTGTAAGTGGGAGCTAAATCATGAGAACTCATGAACACAAAAAGAGGAACAACAGACATTAGGGCCTACTTTAGGGTGGAGGAGGGGAGGAGAGACAGGATCAGAAAACATAACTAGTGGGTACTCGGCTTAGTATCTGAGTGATGAAATAATCTGTACAACAGTCCTCCATAACACGAGTTTACCTATATAACAAACCCGCACATGTACCCCTGAGCCTAAAGAAAAGTATTTTTTAAAAAACAAAAAACACCGAAGATACGAAAGGCATTTATGTTCACTGTCTGCCGTTTCAGAAAAATGTTACATAGTTCTTCAGTTTGGCCCACATCTCATCACTGCAAAATGTATTTGTACCCTGACGGCTTAAAGTTGTAAAAATTCCTTGAATCTTGAAATTCTATGAATTTATACCATTAATTACATTGAGAAGGACAGTAATAGAAAAAGCATTTATCAACTGTTAAATTTAAAAACTTTTATTGTGGTTTAAATAAAATAAAATAATAATCTATTTGCACAAAGCTTTAAATTGGTAAACTACTGTGTTGTTCTAAGATCAACAGTTACATTTATTTGACACTCAGGAAAAATTATCCCGAGGTATCAACTTCATGACTTTAGCTGAGAGTGAAGTTTTAGGCATAGAATCTGGGTAAGTAACTTTCTGCTAAATAAAAACTTTTTTATTGTGGTTTAAATAAAATAAAATAATGATCTATTTGCACAAAGTTTTAAATTGTTAAACTTCTTTGTTGCTCTAAGACCAGCAGTTACATTTATTTGACACTCAAGAAAAATTATTCCAAGGTATCAGCGTCATGGCTTTAGCGGAGAGTGAAGTTTTAGGCATAGAATCTGGATAAGTAATTTTCTGCTAAAAATTTGCTCTGTGACCCCTTACCAAAAAACATGCAATACATTATTATTCTTACATAAAACACAGCATGATTAATGCTATGCTCAATTTGTTGTCTCACGATGGCTTAAAAAAGAATAATAATTTAGGCAAATAAGAACCACTCTCTAAGAAGACGGGCTTGTGTCATGTTCCACGTAATCCTATAGATTACACAGATCCTATTGACCTCTAAAGCAATCTACAAGATTAATTTTAAAATAAGATAATTTTTATTTTTGGAATAGTGTATGTTTTATAAATCATTTTGCTATCAGATTTAAGACATATTTAAACCCTGAGAAGATAAATTTCAGCATTGAACTTTATTTTTTTAGGTTTACTAAGTGTCTCTGCTTGTATTTCTTTAATTTATTTATTATACTTTTAGTTCTAGGGTACATATGCACAATGTGCAGTTTTGTTACATATGTATACATGGGACATGTTGGTGTGCTGCACCCATTAACTCGTCATTTACATTAGGTATATCTCCTAAAGCTATCCCTCCCCACTCCTCCCACCCCATGACAGGCCCCAGTGTGTGATGTTCCCCACCCTGTGTCCAGGTGTTCTCATTAATCAATTCCCACCTGTGAGTGAGAACATGCGGTGTTTGGTTTTCTGTCCTTGCAATAGTTTGCCCAGAATGATGGTTTCCAGCTTCATCCATGTCCCTACAAAGGACATGAACTCATCATTTTTATGGCTGCGTAGTATTCCATGGTGTGTATGTGCCACATTTTCTTAATCCAGTCTATCATTGATGGACATTTAGGTTGGTTCCAAGTCTTTGCTGTTGTGAATAGTGCCGCAATAAACATATGTGTGCATGTGTCTTTATAGCAGCATGATTTATAATCCTTTGGGTATATATCCAGTAATGCGATGGCTGGGTCAAATGGTATTTCTAGTTCTAGATCGTTGAGGAATCGCCACACTGACTTCCACAATGGTTGAACTAGTTTACAGTCCCACCAACAGTGTAAAAGGGTTCCTATTTCTCCACGTTCTCTCCAGCACCTGTTGTTTCCTGACTTTTTAATAATCGCCATTCTAACTGGTGTGAGATGGTATCTCATTGTGGTTTTGATTTGCATTTCTCTGATGGCCAGTGATGATGAGCATTTTTTCATGTGTCTGTTGGCTGCATAAATGTCTTCTTTTGAGAAGTGTCTGTTCATATACTTCGCCCACTTTTTGATGGGGTTGTTTGATTTTTTCTTGTAAATTTGTTTAAGTTCTTTGTAGATTCTGGATATTAGCCCTTTGTCAGATGGGTAAATTGCAAAAATTTTCTCCCATTCTGTAGGTTGTCTGTTCACACTGATGGTAGTTTCTTTTGCTGTGCAGAAGCTTTTTAGTTTAATTAGATCCCATTTGTCAATTCTGGCTTTTGTTGCCATTGCTTTTGGTGTTTTAGTCCTGAAGTCTTTGCCCTTGCCTATGTCCTGAATGGTATTTCCTAGGTTTTCTTCCAGGGTTTTTATGGTTTTAGGTCTAAAACTTAAGTCTTTAATCCACCTTGAATTAAATTTGTATAAGGTGTAAGGAAGGGATCCAGTTTCATCTTTCTACATATGGCTAGCCAGTTTTCCCAGCACCATTTGTTAAATAGGGAATTCTTTCCCCATTTCTTTTTTTTGTCAGGTTTGTCAAAGATCAGATGGTTGTAGATGTTTGGTATTATATCTGAGGACTCTGTTCTGTTCCATTGGTCTATATTTCTGTTTTGGTACCAGTACCATGCCATTTTGGTTACTGTAGCCTTGTAGTATAGTTTGAAGTCAGGTAGCGTGATGCCTTCAGCTTTGTTCTTTTGGCTTAGGATTGTCTTGGCAATGTTGGCTCTTTTTTGGTTCCATATGAACTTTAAAGTAGTTTTTTCCAATTCTTGAAGAAAGTCATTGGTAGCTTGATGGCGATGGCATTGAATCTATAAATTACCTTCAGCAGTATGGCCATTTTCATGATATTGATTCTTCCTATCCATGAGCAAGGAATGTTCTTCCATTTGTTTGTGTCCTCTTTCATTTCGTTGAGCAGTGGTTTGTAGTTCTCCTTGAAGAGGTCCTACACATCCCTTGTAACTTGGATTCCTAGGTATTTTATTCTCTTTGAAGCAATTGTGAATGGGAGTTCATTCATGATTTGGCTCTCTGTTTGTCTGTTATTGGTGTATAGGAATGCTTGTGATTTTTGCATATTGATTTTGTATTCTGAGACTTTGCTGAAGTTGCTTATCAGCTTAAAGAGATTTTGGGCTGAGACGATGGGGTTTTCTAAATATACAATCATGTCATCTGCAAACAGGAACAATTTGACTTCCTTTTTCCCTAATTGAATACCCTTTGTTTCTTTTTCCTGCCTGATTGCCCTGGCCAGAACTTCCAACACTATGCTGAATAGGAGTGGTGAGAGAGGGTATCCCTGTCTTGTGCCAGTTTTCAAAGGGAATGTTTCCAGTTTTTGCCCATTCAGTATGCTATTGTTTGTGGTTTTGTCATAAATAGCTCTTATTCTTTTGAAATACATCCCATCAATACCTAGTTTATTGAGAGTTTTTAGCATTAAGGGCTGTTGAATTTTGTCGAAGGCCTTTTCTGGATCTATTGAGATAATCATGTGGTTTTTGTCTTTGGTTCTGTTTATATAATGGATTACATTTATTGATTTTCAGCACTGAACTCTTATCTCCTCTATGATATCATCCACTAAGAATGATGTTAAATACAACTTCAGATCTTTTATTATTTGACTCTAGAGAAAATTATATATTTAAGTACCAAGGTAAAGTGGATATAGTTGATCATTTAGATCTACCTCACATGATGATAAACTTATAATCTTCAGAGTATATATCATTCTGGATATCTACATTATCTAGATAGCTGAGCTGTAAATATTATCGACTAAAATATTTAATTGTTTTCAATGAATACATTACTTAACTCTTTTAGGCATTTTACTGTTAATAGAAGATGTTTAATAAAATTTACCTAAAACAATAGTCATTGGTATATAACAGTTGTTTTTAAATAGAAAAATGTGTTTTTAGACACAGATGGATAATAGATTTCTTTTTTTTTTGAAGTAAATACATGTATTAGTTTGTTTCTGTGTAATATAATGTCACATTGTGTAAACTATGGGTTCAAATTCCAATTCTGTATCTGACACCATTTTCTTTTTTTTTTTTTTCGTTAATGCATGACTTTTTTTAAAATTATTATTATACTTTAAGTTTTAGGGTACATGTGCACAATGTGCAGGTTAGTTACATATGTATACATGTGCCATGCTGGTGTGCTGCACCCATTAACTCATCATTTAGCATTAGGTATATCTCCTAAAGCTATCCCTCCCCCCTCCCCCCACACAACAACTGTCCCCAGAGTGTGATGTTCCCCTTCCTGTGTGCATGTGTTCTCGTTGTTCAATTCCCACCTATGAATGAGAACATGCAGTGTTTGGTTTTTTGTTCTTGCAATAGTTTACTGAGAATGATGATTTCCTATTTCATCCATGTCCCTACAAAGGCCATGAACACATCAATTTTTATGGCTGCGTAGTATTCCATGGTGTATATGTGCCACATTTTCTTAATCCAGTCTATCATTGTTGGACATTTGGGTTGGTTCCAAGTCTTTGCTATTGTGAATAGTGCCGCAATAAACATATGTGTGCATGTGTCTTTATAGCAGCATGATTTATAGTCCTTTGGGTAAATACCCAGTAATGGGATGGCTGGGTCAAATGGAATTTCTAGTTCTAAATCCCTGAGGAATCGCCACACTGACTTCCACAATGGTTGAACTACTTTACAGTCCCACCAACAGTGTAAAAGTGTTCCTATTTCTCCACATCCTCTCTAGCACCTGTTGTTTCCTGACTTTTGAATGATTGCCATTCTAACTGGTGTGAGATGGTATCTCATTGTGGTTTTGATTTGCATTTCTCTGATGGCCAGTGATGGTGAGCATTTTTTCATGTGTTTTTTGGCTGCTTAAATGTCTTCTTTTGAGAAGTGTCTGTTCATGTCCTTTGCCCACTTTTTGATGGGGTTGTTTCTTTTTTTCTTGTAAATTTGTTTGAGTTCATTGTAGATTCTGGATATTAGCCCTTTGTCAGATGAGTAGGTTGCGAAAATTTTCTCCCATTTTGTAGGTTGTCTGTTCACTCTGATGGTAGTTTCTTTTGCTGGGCAGAAGCTCTTTAGTTTAGTTAGATCCCATTTGTCAATTTTGGCTTTTGTTGCCATTGCTTTTGGTGTTTTAGACATGAAGTCTTTGCCCATGCCTATGTCCTGAATGGTAATGCCTAGGTTTTCTTCTAGGGTTTTTATGGTTTTAGGTCTAACGTTTAAGTCTTTAATCCATCTTGAATTGATTTTTGTATAAGGTGTAAGGAAGGGATCCAGTTTCAGCTTTCTACATATGGCTAGCCAGTTTTCCCAGCACCATTTGTTAAATAGGGAATCCTTTCCCCATTGCTTGTTTTTGTCAGGTTTGTCAAAGATCAGATAGTTGTAGATATGCGGCATTATTTCTGAGGGCTCTGTTCTGCTCCACTGATCTATCTGTCTGTTTTGGTACCAGTACCATGCTGTTTTGGTTACTGTAGCCTTGTAGTATAGTTTGAAGTCAGGTAGTGTGATGCCTTCAGCTTTGTTCTTTCGGCTTAGGATTGACTTGGCGATGCGGGCTCTTTTTTGGTTCCATAAGAACTTTAAAGTAGTTTTTTCCAATTCTGTGAAGAAAGTCATTGGTAGCTTGATGGGGATGGCACTGAATCTGTAAATTACCTTGGGCAGTATGGCCATTTTCACGATATTGATTCTTCCTACCCATAAGCATGGAATGTTCTTCCATTTCTTTATATTCTCTTTTATTTCATTGAGCAGTGGTTTGTAGTTCTCCTTGAAGAGGTCCTTCACGTCCCTTGTAAGTTGGATTCCTAGGTATTTTATTCTCTTTGAAGCAATTGTGAATGGGAGTTCACTCATGATTGGCTCTCTGTTTGTCTGTTATTGGTGTATAAGAATGTTTGTGATTTTTGTAGATTGATTTTGTATCCTGAGACTTTGCTGAAGTTGCTTATCAGCTTAAGGAGATTTTGGGCTGAGACAACGGGGTTTTCTAGATATACAATCATGTCATCTGCAAACAGGGACAATTTGACTTCCTCTTTTCCTAATTCAATACCCTTTATTTTCTTATCCTGCCTGATCGCCCTGGCCAGAACTTCCAACAGTATGTTGAATAGGAGTGGCGAGAGAGGGCATCCCTGTCTTGTGCCAGTTTTCAAAGGGAATGCTTCCAGTTTTTGCCCATTCAGTATGATATTGGCTGTGGGTTTGTCATAGATAGCTCTTATTATTTTGAGATACGTCCCATCAATATCTAATTTATTGAGAGTTTTTAGCATGAAGCATTGTTGAATTTTGTGAAAGGCCTTTTCTGCATCTATTGAGATAATCATGTGGTTTTTGTCTTTGGTTCTGTTTATATGCTGGATTACATTTATTGATTTGCATATATTGAATCAGCCTTGCATCCCAGGGATGAAGCCCACTCGATCATGGTGGAGAAGCTTTTTGATGTGCTGCTGGATTCGGTTTGCCAGTATTTTATTGAGGATTTTTGCATCAATGTTCATCAAGGAGATTGGTCAAAAATTCTCTTTTTTGGTTGTGTCTCTGCCCGGCTTTGGTATCAGGATGATGCTGGCCTCATAAAATGAGTTAGGGAGGATTCCCTCTTTTTCTATTGACTGGAATAGTTTCAGAAGGAATGGTACCAGTTCCTCCTTGTACCTCTGGTAGAATTCGGCTGTGAATCCATCTGTTCCTGGACTCTTTTTGGTTGGTAAGCTATTGATTATTGCCACAATTTCAGAGCCTGTTATTGGTCTATTCAGAGATTTAACTTCTTCCTGGTTTAGTCTTGGGAGGGTGTATGTGTTGAGGAATTTATCCATTTCATCTAGATTTTCTAGTTTATTTGCGTAGAGGTGTTTGTAGTATTCTCTGATGGTAGTTTGTATTTCTGTGGGATCAGTGGTGATATCTCCTTTATCATTTTTATTGCGTGTATTTGATTCTTCTCTCTTTTCTTCTTTATTAGTCTTGCTAGTGGTCTATCAATTTTGCTGATTCAGAGTTCATTTTAAGGGGAGCCCTGACTAAGATGTGCGTTCTGAGTTTTGTTTTCTTGATGTCAATTTGATTTTAATCTGTTGCCTCATTACAGAAGCTGCCTTATGAAAAAGCACGGGTTGTAATTGATATAACATGAGTTCATGGACGTTATTTTCTATGTGGCATTTCTTTTAATACTGTCCAGAATAACTTATTATTCACTGTGTTCAACATAATCATTCAAACTTTTGAACCCCTACAACTGAACATCATTGGCTCAAAGGTATTTCCCCAAACTTGCATCCTTTCTTCTCTATTAATTACCTTGCTTTCAACAGAGCATGAAGAAAACATACTCCCTATCTTCTCAATAATTAGGTAAAAAAATAAAGTTGGAGACAGCCTACTATAAATTCTACATATATACACATATACATATGTGTGTGCATGTGTGGGTGTGTTTGTATATATATGAGTAATTCTGTAGAAAAGACTACAAGATTTTTCATAGGGCAAAAGCTTCATGACATTGGATTGGGCAATGATTTATTGGATATGAAACCAAAGGCATAGACAACAAAAGAAAACAACAGACAAATTAGATTTCATAAAAATTTTAAATGTATGCATCTAAAGACTGTATCAGAGTAAAAAGGCAACTAACAAGATGGGAGAAAATATTTGCAAATCATATATCTGATCAGGAATTAATATCCAGAATATACAAATAACTCCTAAAACTCAACAACAACAAAAAGCAACCTAGTTCATATATCCAATAAGGAATTAATATCTAGAATATACAGAGAAGTAAAAAAATTCAACAACAAAAAACAAACAATCCAACTCAAAAATGGACAGAGGACTTAAATAGATTTCTCCAAAGAAGATATATGAATGACCAATAAGCACATGAAAAGATAATTAACATCACTAATAATTAGAAAATGCAAATTAAGACTACAATGAAATAGCAGCTCACACCCAATAGTATGGCTACTATCAAAATAACCAGAAAATAACAAGTGTTGGCAAGGATGTGGAGAAATTGCAACCCTTGTGCACTGCTGGTGGAAATGCAAAATAGTCTAGCCACTGTGGATAACAGTATGGCAGTTACTCAAATAATTAAAAATAAAATTACTATGTGATCCAGCAAATCCACCTCTGGGTATATATTCCAAAGAAAATATGGTCTCAAAGAGATATTTGTACAACCACGTACATAGCTGCATTATTCACAATAGCTAAAATGGGGAAGCAGCCCAAGTGTCCATTATGAATTTATGGATAAGCAAAATATGATATATACATGCAATGGATAATTATTCTACCTTATAACAAAAGGAAAATCTGACATATTTCATGTCAGAATTGGTGAACTTTGAGGACGTTATTCTGTTTGATATAAGCCAGTCACAAAAGGACAAATAAATGTATGATTCCACTTATATGAAGTACCTAGAGTAGTCAGATTCATACAGACAGAAAGTAGAATGGTGGTTGCCAGGGGTTAAAGGTTGGATATAGACTTTCAGGGTTACAAAATAAGTTATAAAGATGGATGGAGGCTATGGTTGTACAGCATTATAAATGTCTTTAATCCCACTGAAGTGTACACTTAAAATGGTTAAGATGGCAAATTTTATGTTGTATGTAACTTATATTAAAATTGTGAGTAAAAAATGACTCAAAAATTTTCTTAATATGTGACATTTATGAGATTCTAGGTACAACTAACTTTAAGGATTATACTTGACCTACACAAACAAATATGGTCAATCTCTATATATAATTTTTATATAAATGGTCTACATTAAATGCCATTACAATTTCTTAGCATAGTTACATTTTCCATTTCTGGAGGTTTATTAGTAAATCCCATGCCAAATTTAGGGATACTCATTGGGAAGGTCTGATTTTAAATAGTGGAAAATTTTACACATAAAATACACTTTCAGCAATCTTGGAGACATCTCAAAGAGGTAAGTAATCATTTTTCAGAACTGTTAATAGCTGTTGATTGGGAGAAATATACTATAGCAATATGCCATTAAAGCAAAACAAAACAAAACAAAAGTATCTTTAAAATCAGACATAGAATTAGAAGTCACAAGGGAAGACCATTCAAATTTTAGTTCCTGTTTGCAATTTAGCTGCTTCTCACTTGGGGAACTCTAGATAACATGCCCTAGTGTGAGTAAGAGAATGGATTTATTTATATCACTGAAGTTAATTATAAACCAGGAAAATATAGGAAAAGTCTAACACTGTAACAGTAATGACATAAATCTTGATAGTGCCCACATAATGAGTCATCTTGCTCATGAAATCGCTTTTGTAATAACATTTAGTATTCTTAACATTAACACATTAAGCAAAGGCTAAATTGGTCAGTAACACTAACAGACCACAGACGACTTAAAATATTCCTATTCAATTCAGTAGCAAGAAAACAAATCCAATTAAAAAAACAGGCAAAGGACCTGCATAGATATTTCTCAAAATAAAGCATACAAATGGCCAACAAACATATGAAAAAAATGCTCACTATCATTAATCATTAGGGAAATTCAATTTTAAACCATAATGAGATATCATTTCATACCTGTTAGAATGGCTATTATTAAAAAGATGAAAGACAACAAGTGTTGGTGAGGATAGAAAAAAGGGGACCCTTGCACACTGTTGGTGGGAGTGTTAATAAGGACAATTATTATGGAAAACAGTATGGAGATTACTCAAAAAATTAAAAATAGAACTACCATATGACCCAGCAATCACACTAGTGGGTATATATCCACAGAAAATGAAATCAGTATGTGGAAGAGATATCTGCACCCCCATGATTATTCCAGCATTATTCACAATAGCCAAGATAATGGAATTAGCCTAGGTATCCATTAACAGATGAATGGATAAAGGAAATGGGTTATGTATACACAATGGAATACTACTCAGCCTTAGAAAAGAAGGAAATCTTATCATTTGCAACAACATGGATGAACCTGAAAGATATTACATTAAGTGAAATAAACCAGGCACAGAAAGACAAATATCACATGATCTCACTTTATGTAGAATATTAAAAAGTCATACTCATAGAAACAAAGTAGAATGGTGGTTACCATGGGCTGCAAGAGAGAGGTTGGGAGATATGGTCAAAGGATCTAAAATTTCATATAGGTAGAAGGGATAAGTTCAAGAGATCAATTTGTATATGATAACTATAGCTAATAACAGTTTATTATATTCTTAAAAATCAAAGGTGAGTACACTCAAGTGTTTTCACCAAAAAAATATAAATATGTAAGGTAATGCATATGTACAATTTTATTTGTCAATTAAAAACATGAATGAATTTAATTTAAAAAGAAGGTGGTATTCAGTGGATCATGAGGATATGGAGAAGGGGAAGATGTTGGTTAAAGTTTTGGTTAGAAAGGATGAATAAGTTCTGGAGATCTATTGCACAGCATCATGACTATAGTTAATGATAATGTATATTTGACAATTTCTAAGAAAGTAGATCTGAAATGTTCTCATCACACACACATACACACATTAACTATGTGAGGTGATGGAGATATATATATATATAATTTTTTTTTTTGAGACAGAGTCTTGCTCTGTCACCCAGGCTGCAGTGCAATGGCACAATCTCAGCTCACTGCAACCTCTGCCTCCCAGGTTCATGCCATTCTCCTGCCTCAGCCTCCTGAGTAGCTGGGACTACATGCACCTGCCACCACACCTGGCTAATTTTTTTGTATTTTTAGTAGAGACTGGGTTTCACCATGTTAGCCAGGATGGTCTTGATCTCCTGACCTTGTGATTCCCCTGCCTCAGCCTCCCAAAGTGCTGGGATTACAGGCGTGAGCCACTGCAACTGGCCAGTGATGGATATATTAACTGGCTTAATTGTAGTAATCATTTCATAATGTATACATACATCAAAACATCACATTGTACTCCAAAAATATACACAATTTTATTTGTCAATTATTCCTCCAGAAAGCTGGAAATATAGAAGAGAAAAAAATAAACATATATAATATTCCTAGGGAATAAAACTGCTTCATCAAAATGAGTTGTGTAATTATCAAATAAGAGATGCATTTTCTAAAAAAAATTGAATGTCAAGTGATAGTGATAATTCAATTGAAAAAGATGAAAACAAACTAGCTGAAGCAAATAGGAGACTTACTGGAGGACATTACTGGAAAAGATCAATTGGTGGTAGAGGAAGGCTCCTGTCAGATATTTGTCTGTGTGTGTGTGTTTATTTGAGAGAGAGAAAGAGAGAAGGAGAGAGGGCCAGGCAGGCAGGCAGGAAGGAAGGAAGGGAGAAGGGAGGGAGGCTGAGAGAGAGAAAGGATGTGTTGAATAGCCAAAGCAATAGCTATAACAAACTTTTACTTATGGAGCAAAAATATAATGGAAAATATAATAGAAATCAAATATAAACTGTAAATATATTTGAAATATCTAAATGTATATAAATAACAAAATTAATATAAATGTGGGTTTTTTTTGTTTGTTTTGTTTTGTTTTTTTGAGATGGAGTCTCACTCTGTCGCCCAGGCTGGAGTGCAATGGCATGATCTCGGCTCACTGCAACCTCCACCTCCCAGGTTCAAGTGATTCTCCTGCCTCAGCCTCCCGAGTAGCTGGGAATACAGGCACGCGCCACCATGCCTGGCTAATTTTTGTATTTTTAGTAGATACAGGGTTTTACCATGTTGGCCAGGCTGGTCTGGAACTTCTGACCTCAGGTGATATGCCTGTCTCAGCCTCCCTAAGTACTGGGATTACAGGTGTGAACCACCCCATCTGGCCAATATAAATGTATTTTAAAATACAGTAAAAAATAAAGGTCCACTCCAAACAACAAATAAATGTTGGAACATAATTTAAAGGCTGATACAGTTTGGCTGTGTCCCCACCCATATCTCTTCTTGAATTGTAACTCCCACAATTCCTACATGTAGTGGGAGGGACCCAGTGGGAGGTGATTGAATTATGGGGGCAGGTCTTTCCTGTGCTGTTCTTGTGATAGTGAATGAGTCTCATGAGATCTGATGGTTTTAAAAACGGGATTTTCCCTGCACAGGCTCTCTTTTTGCCTGCTGCTATCCATGTAAGATGTGACTTGCTCCTCCTTGCCCTCAGCCATGACTGTGAGGCCTCCCCAGCCAAGTGGAACTGTGAGTCCAATTAAATCTCTTTCTTTTGTAAATTACCCACTCTTGGGTATATCTTTATCAGCAGTATGAAAATGGACTAATACAAAGACCTGCACCCATGAAATTTTCTAATCAATGGCTTCATTTTGGGAGGGCTGACAGCATTCACATATGTGACAGTAACCAACCTACTCAGCTGTTTAAAATGAAGGGCAGTTGGTATAATTGGAAACTAGCAAAATTCCACAAAATGATCAATTTTGTCAACAAATTAAATTTCATTTTCTGAATATTTCACTTTACAATTATGTTGCTAGCTTGTTTTTAGTTAACTGTCTCTTGAAGCTGAGAGGAGACACATTCAGACAGCTAATTTCAATCATGAAAATGACAGAAGATGTACGGCCTGTACACTTTGAATACTAAATCATTTTTCTAAGGAATAGATGCAAGGGCATTGCAACATATGTAATGCACTTTGAAACAGATATTTTCCAATCCAACACGTGGCTCTGAGGGAGAGGGCTCTAAGGGATGACTAACTTGTTTCTGTTCTCCCAGAATATAGTCCCTTGGTTTATCATGTCTGATTCCTTAAGGTACAGGCACCATCTGAGCTTTTATGTCCTACCTGTGTAGAGACCCATTTTGTTATGCATGTATGGGAGTGTCTAGAGCACATTAGTTAAGGTCATGCTACAACACATACATTTCTCAAATCTTAGTGGCTTAAGTTTATTTCTTATTCTTGTAAAATCCAGGGTGTTATCCAAATGGTCATTCATGACACAGCCTCCTTCCATTTTTAGGCTTCTGGGTGCTTCATTAGTGCACTCCCCTGAATTCCTCTGCATTAAGTTGGAAGACGGAAAAAAAGAGAATGGACTATTGGAAGCTGCTTACAGGCTAAAGTTGGAAGTGGCATATGTCATTTCTGCTCATATTTTATTGGCCATAACTCAATCATATTTTGCAAATAACTATTAGGTGAAAAGGCAAACTGGTTTGGTTAACAAAAGCAAGTCTGCTGAATGAGGAGACACCAAAACTTTTCATAGTCATACAACTTTACTATATAATCAAATTGCTATAACCTTCCCTTTGAAAACAAAGAACACACAAACTTCATTCATGTAACTACTTGCACGTTAAGTAACCCAACAGGTCATTTTATTATAGGTATAAAAGAGAAAGTGAGTACCTAGACATAATCGAAAAAACTGGGTGATACCATTTGGATATTTGTTCCCTCCAAATCTCATGATAAAATGTGACCCCCAGTGTTGGAGATGGGGTTAAGAGAGAGGTGTTGGGTTATGAGGGTTGATGCCTCGTGGATAGTTTAATGCTTTCCCCTCAGTAAAGAGTTCACAGGAGACCTGGTTATATTTGGCTCCCCATGTGTCCGGAATTGGTGGGTTCTTGGTCTCACTGACTTCAAGAATGAAGCCGCAGACACTTGTGGTGAGTGTCACAGTTCTTAAATGCGGCATGTCCAGAGTTTGTTTCTTCTGATGTTTGGGTGTGTTGGGAGTTTCTTCCTTCTGGTGGGTTCGTGTCCTCGCTGGCTCAGGAGTGAAGCTACACACCTTCGCGGTGAGTGTTATAGCTCTTAAGGCGGCGCATCTGGAGTTGTTCATTCCTCCCGGTGGGTTCGTGGTCTCGCTGGCTTCAGGGGTGAAGCTGCAGACCTTTGCGGTGAGTGTTACAGCTCATAAAGGCAGTGTGGACCCAAAGAGTGAGCAGCAGCAAGATTTATAGCAAAGAGCAAAAGAACAAAGCTTCCACAGTGTGGAAGGGGACCCGAGCGGCTTGCCACTGCTGGCTGCGGCAGCCTGCTTTTTTTCTCTTATCTGGCCCCACCCACATCCTGCTGATTGGTCCATTTTACAGAGAGCCAATTGGTCTGTTTTACAGAGAGCTGATTGATCCGTTTTGACAGGGAGCTGATTGGTGCATTTACAATCCCTGAGCTAGACGCAGAAGTTCTCCATGTCCCCACTAGATTAGCTAGATACAGAGTGTCGATTGGTGTATTTACAAACTCTGAGCTAGACACAGAGTGCTGATTGGTGCATTTACAAACCTCGAGCTAGATACAGAGTGCCGATTGGTGCATTCACAAACCCTGAGCTAGACACAGGGTGCTGATTGGTGCATTCACAATCCCTTAGGTCGACATAAAGGTTCTCCAAGTCCCCACCAGATCAGCTAGATACAGAGTGCTGATTGGTGTATTCACAAACCCTGAGCTAGACAGAGTGCTGATTGGTGCATTTACAATCCCTTAGCTAGACATAAAGATTTTCCATGTCCCCACCAGACTCAGAAGCCCAGCTGGCTTCACCCAGTGGATCCCGCACCGGGGCCACAGGTGGAGCTGCCTGCCAGTCCCGTGCTGTGCGCCCACACTCCTCAGCCCTTGGGCGGTTGATGGGACCAGGCACTGTGGAGCAGGGGGCAGCGCTCATCAGGGAGGCTCGGGCCATACAGGAGCCCACGGCGGGGGATTGGGGAGGCTCAGGCATGGTGGGCTGCAGGTCCTGAGCCCTGCCCCATGGGGAGGCAGCTAAGGCCTGGCAAGAAATTGAGCGTGGTGCTGGTGGGCCAGCACTGCTGGGGGACCTGGCACACCCTCCGCAGCTGCTGGCCTGGGTGCTAAGCCCATCACTGGCGGGGGCCGGTGGGGCCCACCAGCTGCTCTGAGTGCGGGGCCCGCTGATCCCATGCCCACCCGGAACTCATGCTGGCCCTCAAGCGCCATGCACAGCCCTGGTTCCCATCTGTGCCTCTCCCTGCACACCTGCCGCAAGCTGAGGGAGCTGGCTCCAGACTTGGCCAGCCCAGAAAGGGGTTCCCACAGTGCAGCGGCAGTCTGAAGGGCTCCTCAAGCGTGGCCAGAGTGGGCACCAAGGCTGAGGAGGTGCTGAGAGTGAGCAAGGGCTGCAAGGGCTGCCAGCACGCTGTCACCTCTCACCCCTTTGCCTTCTGCCATGATTGTAAGTTCCTGAGGACTCACCAGAAGGTGATGCTAGCACAACACTTCTTAAACAGCCTGCAGAACCATGAGCCAAATAAACCTCCTTTTCTTTATAAATTATCCAGTCCAGATAGTCCTTTATAATGATGCAAAACAGACTAACATACTGGGCATAAAAAATTTTAATGGATCAGTATAATACTATTTTAGTTGTGTTGAATTTTGAGCTGAAGAAGGCAGCTGTTCAGTATTTTTACAAACATTTTTGTCAAAGTTATGGAAATTAGCCATCCCTTTCAATCTTTCTAATTTGAAGCAATCACTGTGTTCTGCAGAATACATTCTCAGAGAATGGTTAAATCATTATCTCCCTTGGGATCTCTGGTTCCAAGCCTTTGAAAAAGGAGAAATCTTCCAGTTTTACAAAAGTTAATTGCCAGTGACTGGTCTACACTGACATGGTTAGGAATGCAAAATGGGGCATACCTGGGATCTCCTAACCATCCCAACTTAATCATTATTTTTATTACTTGTTTCCCTGTGAATTCTGTGTTACTAAAGCTGAACTGCTACATCATCAATTTTATTTTATAAATTGTTAAATTTCCCTATTATCAATAATGTCATTTTTAGTTCGATTAGCTGAGTTTTCTTTGCCTCAACATGTTCCAGCTTCAGAATTATTTGCTCTTTTTTCACAGAGGAAATGTCTTTTGAAAGCTTCACTGACGCCAAGCAGATT
The DNA here is from genome assembly GCF_000001405.40 of Homo sapiens. Lineage (NCBI taxonomy): Eukaryota > Metazoa > Chordata > Mammalia > Primates > Hominidae > Homo > Homo sapiens. The sequence continues at coordinate 97,439,395 of NC_000004.12, forward strand.
TCTTCCAACAATTTCTTGCTTCTTGTGGTAAGTTTGTTTCAGAGAAAAATGAATATTCTGAGACCCTCTATCCTATTCATATTTTTAATAATATATAATTTTTTCATAGTCTTTTGTATTGTTTGATTCTATTTATATTTTTACTCATCTTTCCAAAGAGATATATATGTGTGTGTATATATACATATATATAAAATGCCTTTTCTATTTTACTATTTTATTTTTTTTGCTTATCTCTTCTGTAGTTCTCTTAAAATTATTAATTTAATATTACAGAAAGGCTATCATTTTAAAAACAAGATCATTTACTCTTCCAAAAATATCAAAATAATTATGCTTCCCATGCAGTGTTCACATATTGAATTCTCAACTTTGTTTTTAGGTGACAAGAAGTTTATATTATTTTGTTATAATAGTAGAATGAAAATTTATGCATTTTTACTAGTTCTGGTTTAGAATATGTTAATACATAAGAAGATTATAGACATAAGAATTATTCTACTGAATAATTAAAACATTGTCTTAAAAGTTGACTGGCAATTCTCTCCCACATTCTGAATTTTCATCTTTCTATTCTTTATTCATGAACAAGTTTTGCATATTACATAATATATTATAGAGGAAAAGAATTAAAAATACGAAAGTAAAAATCATCCCATACGGTTTTATTTTTTTTCTTTTTTTAAAAAAAGAATACATGCAAGGGTGTTGCAACATATGTAATGCACTTCAAATACTCCTGGTTGTCTGAGTTTTCTGCAACCACAACTATATTTTGCATGGTTTATATGACGTATAAAAAGGTAATTTCCAAAAGAAATACTATAGGGATGATAGAAACCTTGGGGATCATGTAGCTAGAGCTTAACTACATCACATAAATACCTATAGAAAAACATAGGTTTCAGGACCTATTTCAGAATACAGGCACTACTAGGTGGAGAGTTGTTAGATGTTAGAAAATTGTGTTATTCTACCACCTCACTTGGTGATTGCGAAGTGTCCTCTATGTTTGACATCTACTGATCTAGTACATCAACTGCTTCATTTTGGAGCCATAGAACAAAGAACTAGGTGATTAACTAGTTAGTTTAGGGTTATGTAATTAGGAGATGAGCTCAAAGTCTCCTCTCCATCAACCACCAGTTCTGTGCTGTTTTCCCAATTCAATTCAATTCAAATCATCCAATTCAATGGAAGAGCAAGTATTTATTGGCCATTTTGGGGGGTTTTATTGCTCCAATCTTGAATGATTAATTTTAGGCACATTAATGGAGATATTTTAGATACACTTTTCTTAAATCAGAACACATTGAAAATTTCAGGAGTACTTGAATCTTTTAGAATTATGTTAGTTTTAGATTGCTTGCATAAATCCACTTTCATCATTGAAGTTTCCATAGCTTTTGTTAAAATTTCAAAGAGGGTATGCTCCTCTAGAAACATTAAATACTATTGATAAATCCTTATCTCCAACTAATTTGTTTTACAAGACCATGTTAGAAGTAGAGCATTAATGCCAAAAGTTTTGGGACATGATATTTGAATTTACCCATCTTCCTCAAATATGTAGGATATTGAAGATAATTCAGTATATTGCCACAATTTAATCATTTTTTCTTTTTTTTCCTATTTGCACATAAAAGTTATACAAAGTAAAACATATTGAATATTCCTTTTATGATTTTTATTTTCTACTTTTAGCATTTCAGAGAAATGAAGAGTAAGAAAAAAGTCAAGGGAATAACACATATGCATAATAACATCATTCACTTTGTTTCAGCATGCCTAGTATTTGGAAAGTAATTGCATTCTCTGGTTAGAGAATGAGACTCTAAAGTAAAAAAGAAAGGCTTTTCATCAGATGTCTTTATTCAGCATTATATTTTATATGGATGCATCAGTAGTACACGCTTAGAAAGAATGCAATGAATATATATACATACTGCTTTTGTAACAGGAAACATTTTCTGAAAAAAACAAATATTATATAAGAACGTATTTTTTATCTCTAGATGTTAGAAGAGCAATTATGTTCCTGTGAGCAGCTGATGGAGGACATTATCAACATGGAAGTACTTCTTTGTGAGAGAACTGTCAGCTTACGTTTATATTAATAGATATTACCTTTGGACTATATCTGTGGGAAAAGAAAAGCTATTTCAGTAAGTGGTATCTCTATTTTACTTCTCCACCTAAGTCAAAATATTCTTTCAGATGGCTTCTCTAGTTAAATTACTTCTAATAAAAAAGATATAAAATTTCACAAAATACTCTTTTTTTCTAACCAAATTAACTAAATCTCATTGATATCAAGTAGTTCATATTATGTCATAATTCTGGCTTCTGTATTTATTGTCCTTTTGACTCTGCTGAAGATTTGAGTACTTAAAGGCATATATAGAAGTATATATTCTGCAATTGTTTAGACATTACATCATGATAATAGTGAGTCTAATAAGATAAAATGTTACGACAGAGCAAAAAAGAAATAGAAATCAAATAACCTGTTAAAACTTTCACAATATAATTTAATACACTATTTTCTCCACTGACAAGTATTTTGAGAATAAAAATATTTTATAACAAATTTAGTTATAAAATAAACTTGTAACACATTAGAGGCTCTACTAGATATTATCTTAGCAGAAATACCTTTTTTTTCACTAAGCTTCAGGTACGTGAGACTACCTATATGAAAATATTTTATGTTGATGTCCATTATGACTAGGAAAAGTTGAAGAAAATGTGGCTTGACCCAAGGGCAAACCTGTGAACTGCACAGAATTTTTTCTGGCTATATCACTTTTACTACATGACATGTTTTTTTTTGTTTTTTTTTTATTCAGATGGTTACTCTTTCCCCATTTTCAATCATCCAATACTCTTCTATTATCTAGCTTGTTCTTTCTTCATGCAAACATAATTAGAGCTGATAACAGCTATTTGAACATGTTAACTCACTCATTTTCTTTAGAGTTGGTGTAGTAGCTCAGCCAAGCATTAAACTTATCTCTAATTGTAGAAAAAAATTGTTTTTAATTAAAGTTAATTAAAGTAGGGAGACTCCAAATGATATTATATTTACTGAAATGCAGAATAATTCTGAATGCAACTCTGGTAGCTTTTTGAGGGTCTTCAGTGGTAATAATACGAGAGTGTAGAAACAGAAAAGATAGAATTGGGTCTTTGTGTCCATCTGTAATGATAAAGTTAGACAGGGGGCTAGTCTGGCTTTGCCTGCTGAAGGCTTATTTAACAGAGGGCTTCGAATGGAAGTGAGCATGCCTGGAATACTAAAGCATTTCTAAGGGCTTATTTTTGTGTGACACCATGTAAAAATAGTTAAATAATGAAACATACAACCATAACATATTCTTAGTTTCTAATGTGACAATGGTAATTCTCAAAAAATAAATCTGCAAGTAAGTTTAATAAATATATTTCCTTAAAAGGGTGTGTGCTTTTTATAGAATTATGAGTAAATAGTTACATGGCAGGATACCTCATGTCTAGGAGATATTCTTTCTTAATTGTAACTATTCATTGAAGGTATAGGATTTCATAAATTGAGAGTTGAAAGGAAAGGAGCTTGACAAACTGGTAAAGAAATTCAGACATGGCAAAGAATAACTTGTTGCAGTCCATGCAACAAATAAAATCTATAGAATTTATTTCGGCTTAAACCTATTTAACTGAATGGAAAACTATACAGACAACCAAGTTTTGAAGGGCCAGAAATTTGGTGAGAATAGTGAGGCAGGTGTAATACTGAAGTGAGCCTTACATTTCCCTCGAGGAATCTTTTAGTTTCTAAATAGCACAAGGCCAAAAGACCAAGAAGACAGCCACAAGGCGGATAAAAACCTAAGCTGAGACTTTGGCCTTATCGGGATCTCTAAAGATAAAACTTGTAGTCTAATAAGGCAGGATGTCAAGAAACTAAATTACAAAGAAAAAGGAAGAAGAATAAGGGAATTCTGGCATCGTGTCATGTTCCTCCTTAAGACATTTGCTAAATTTTATCTGGTATAGGGTTATCAGGATATCAAATGGAATCAAGAGTAGCAGCTAAAGATATAGGCAGCAAAACGGGGTATTTGGCAGTTTCCCAGGATGGAAGAAGAAAAGATTGGAGAAGGGACTCTAGTTAATATCTCTGACTTCCTATTATTAGAATAAGAGAAGGTTATACTCTAAAAATATGGGTAATAAGAATTACATCAACTCTTAACAAAAATGTGAAACTCAGTTCTGGACAGGCACAATCCCACACTGGAAAAGTAGGTCTGCCCCATATTTAAGGTACCTGAGAAAAATCTAAAGGAAATCCTCCCTGAAGGAAGAAAATATGAGACAAAACATCAAATTATATCTATAATTTTTCATGAGCAATATTCTACATTTGATCAAACTTACTAGGCATGTCAGGAGATATAATCAAAAAACAGAAAACTAAAACATAAGCAGAACCAAAGGTGAATTAGAGTTGGAGATATCTATCACAGATTTTAAAATAATAAAGAATAAAATGCTTAACAAAATTGTTGGCAAGATCAAGAATCTCACTATGTAACTGGAATTTACAAATAATAACCCAAGGAAATTACAGAACTGAAAATGTTAACATTTAAATTAAGAATGCAATAGATGTGTTTAAACAGCTAAAGAGAGGATTTTTGAACTAAGGAGAGATTATTATAAAATATACAGACTGAAGTTCAAAAAGAAAAGAGAATCTATAATATACAAAAGAGCATACAAGACACATGAGACACAATTTAATATCTGTAATTGCATTTGTGTAAGAGAAGAGAGAAATGTTAAAGAAGCAATATTTGAAAAGATAATAGATGAGAAACTTTCAGAGCCAATAGAAAGACATCAATCCACACAATCCAGAGTATTAACAAACACCAAGGAGAATTGGGGCAGAAGGTAGGAAAATCTAAGAGGATTAGAGTAAAATTGACTTTTTTTAACGCATAAAAAAGTTGTAAAAGCAGTCAGATAAATAAAAGACATTACCTTCAAAGGAAAGACACTTCATTAGAAACTATAGAGGGCAGAAAACAATAGAATGACATTTTGTAAATGCTCAAAGAAAATATGCCAACCTGAACTTCTTTATTCAGCAAAAATATCCTTCAAAAAGGGAAAAGAAATAAAGATGTTTTCAGACAAACAACTGAGAAAACTCATCAACAGCAAACCTGTGCAAACATACATATTCAAAGGAGTTCATTAGACAGAAGACTAATAATCTAAGGAGAAGCACAGAAATGAAAGAAGGAAAGAAGAACAATGAAAGAGTTAAATATGTGGGTAAATCAAAATAAAAATAACTTAAGTAGGCTGGGTGCAGTGGCTCACACCTGTAATCCCAGCACTTTGGGAGGCCGAGGTGGGAGGATCATGAGGTCAGGAGATCGAGACCATCCTGGCTAACATCGTGAAACCCCGTCTCTACTAAAAATACAAAAATTAGCAAAATTAGCCAGGGATGGTAGCAGGCGCCTGTGGTCCCAGCTACTCAGGAGGCTGAGGCAAGAGAATGGCGTGAACCCAGGAGGCAGAGCTTGCAGTGAGTGGAGATCGTGCCACTGCACTCCAGCCTGGGTGACAGAGCAAGACTCCATCTCAAATAATAATAATAACTTAAGTAATGATGATAATAATCTATTGTGGAGTCAACAGATATAAAATTGAAAATGATAAAAATAATAAGTTGAGGCTGTGGTTTTAAATTAAATAAAATCATTTAAAAATCTTTGCCTTGTAAAGAATGTACTACATATTGATAACTAATAAAGATTATAAGTAAAGTCAATGGACTATTTCTCTCTGCCATAACAAGATATATAATAGAAGCAAAAGTATAATTTGTGAGACGAAATTAAAATTGACATTATTGTACACATTGTTTTTCTATACAATCTACTGATGAATTAACTATTCTAAATTATGAATGTTCTAGACCAGCACTGTCTAATAGAACTATAATTTGAGCCACAAAAGTAATTTTATTTTTCTAACGACCACATAAGAAGTAAAAATAAACAGACAAAAATAATCTTAATAGTATATTTTATTTTATCCAGTAAACCTTAAATATTATCATTTTGGCATGTAATAAATACACAATATTATTAATGAGATATTTTACACTTTTTTCTAAAACTGTCTTCAAAATCTGGTATTCATTTTAGACTTACAGCACATTGCAGTTTGCAATAGCCATATTCCAAGTGCCAAATAGTCACATGTGGCTAGTGGCTACCATCATGGACAGCAATAGTCTATGGCATGAATAAACTGATGGCATCTATATGAATTTGATCTACTACTCTAATAAGCAGGTTAATGATATATCAGATATTAAACTTTATATTTTATTACTTTAGCAAATAATTTTCTGTTTAGAATCTAGTTCCCTAGGAATTAATATAATCTCAGTAGTTTCCTCCTGAAATACAAAGCCAATTAATGGTGTGGATACTGAAAAGAAAAGGAATCTTTTTCTGGGAAATAATAACATCCAATTTTTCAAATCCAGTCTTATCTTACAAAAACCTTGAAGTCTAAGCCACTGTTACAGTCCTTATTATATATTCAGTGTGTAACCCATAGTTCAATATATATTAACTTTTCATATAAACATGCCAACTTTTAATTCAAAACTGCTTGATAATGCAATTTAACTAAAAAAGTCTACATGCTAAAATAAGATATAATCCTACAACAACTGACTAAAGCATAACATTACAGAAATTTATTTGTATTAAAAAGATAGGTTAATTAAAAAGCAACTCACCTGATTAAGGTAACTATTTTATCTTGTTATTAAAGGCAAATGAAAAACAGACTTTATAAAAATGTAAGGATCATGTACTGGCTATTCTTGACCAGATTAGAACTTATCTCTAGAGGAACACAGATTGTCTTCTATTATAATCTGTTAATTACACCTTGGAGCCATAAACACAACCAGTTTCTAGAAGAGCGATACAAATATATTGCTTTGAGGACAGAAAAATATATTCTGACCAACAGATTGTGTATGGCAGTTAACTTATGGATTATAAAAATGTAGTAACCATATAACTTAGGGAGGACAGGTATACTCACTGATATGGTTTGGCTCTGTGTTCTCACCCAAATCTCATCTCAAATTGCAATTCCCATGTATCAAGGGAGGGACCAGGTGGGAGGTGATTGGATGATGGGTACGGTTTCCCCTGTGCTGTTCTCATGACATTGACTAAGTTCTCATGAGATCTGATGGTTTTATAAGTGTTGGCAGTACCTCTTCCCTCTGTCTTTTCTGCCACATTGTGAAGAAGGTACTGGCTTCTCCTTCGCCTTCCACCATGATTGTAAGTTTCCCAAGGCCTCCCCAGCCATGCTGAACTGTGAATCAGTTAAACCTCTTTCCTTTATAAATTACCCAGTCTCAGGTATTTCTTCATAGCAGCATGAGACTGGGCAGGAAATTGGTACAAGAAGTGGGGTACTGCTATAAAGATAACATGAAAATGTGGAAGCAACTTTGGAACTGGGTAACAGGCAGAGGTTGGAGCAGTTTGGAGGGCTCAGAAGAAGATAGGAAGATGAGGAAAAGTTTGGAACTTCCTAGAGACTTGTTAAATGGTTTTGACCAAAATGCTGATAGTGATGTGGACAATGAAGTTTAGGCTGAAGTGGTCTCATATGGAGACGAGGAACTCATTGGGAACTGGAGTAAAGATTACTCTTGCTATGCTTTAGCAAAGTGACTGGCAGAATTTTGCTCCTGCCCTGGAAATCTGTGGAGCATTGAACTTGAGAGAGATGATCTGAAATTGGAACTTACATTTAAAAGGCACGTGGAGCATAAAAGTTTGAAAAATTTGCAGCCTTACCATGTAGTAGAAAAGAAAAATCTATTTTCTGGGGAGAAATTCAAGCCATCTGCAGAAATTTGCATAAGTAATAAGGAGCCAAATGTTAATTGCCAAGAAAATTGGCAAAATGTCTCCATGGCATGTCAGAGACCTTAGTGGCAGCCCCTCCTATCACAGGCCTAGAGGCCTAGGAGGGAAAAATGGTTCTGTGGGCTGGGACCAAGTCTTCCACTGCTCTGTGCAGCCTCAGTATATGGTGTCCTATGACCCAGATGCTTCAGCTCCAGCCTTGGCTAAAACGGGCAAGGTATGGTTCAAACTGTTGCTTCAGAGGGTGCAAGCTCCAAGATTTGGTGGTTTACATGTAGTGTTGGGCCTGAGGGTGCATACAAGTCAGGAATTGCAGTTTGGGAACCTCTGCCTAGATTTCAGAGGATGTATGGAAATGCCTGGATGTCCAGGCAGAAGTCTTTCGCAGGGTCAGAGCCCTTTTAGAGAATCTCTGCTAGAGCAGTGTGGAAGGGAAATGTAGGGTTGGAGCCCCCTCACAGAGTCCCCACTGGTGCATCTCCTAGTGGAGCTGTGAGAAGAAAGCCACCCTTATCCAGACCCAAGAATAGTAGGTCTACTGACAGCTTGCACCCTGCAGCTGGGAAAGCTGCAGGCACTCAACACCAGCCAGTGAAAGAACTGCCCAAGGCTGTGGGAGCCCCCTCCCCATTTCATCAGCATGCCCTGGATGTGAGACATGGAGTCAAAGGAGATTATTTTGGAACTTTAGGATTTAATCTCTGCCCTGTTGGCTTTCAGACTCACATGGGGCTTATAGCCCCTTGGTTTTGGCCAATTTCTCCCATTTGAAATGGGAGCATTTATCCAGTGCTTGTCCCCATATTGTATCTTGGAAGTAACTAACTTGCTTTTGATTTCACAAGCTCATAGGTGGAAGGGACTTACCTTGTCTCAAATGAGACTTTGGACTATGGGCTTTTGAGCTAATGCTGAAGTAAGTGTTTGGGGGACTGTTGGGAAGGCATGATTTGTTCTGAAATGTAAAAAGGACATAAGATTTGGGAGGGTCCAGGGACAGAATGATATGGTTTGGCTCTGTGTCCCCACCGAAATCTCATCTCAAATTGTAATCCCCACATGTCAAAGGAGGGACCTGATGGGAGGTAATTGGATCATGGGGGTGTTTTCCCCCATGCTGTTCTCATGATAGTGACTGAGTTCTCATGACATCTGATGATTTTATAAGTGTTTGGCAGTTCCTCTTCCCTCTCTCTTTTCTCCCACCTTGTGAAGAAGGTACTTGCTTCTCATATGCCTTCCACCATGATTGGAAGTTTCCTGAGACCTCCCCAGTCATGTGAAACTGAGTCAATTAAACCTCTTTCCTTTATAAATTACCCAGTCTTGTGTATTTCTTTATATCAGTGTGAGAACGAACTGATACACTCACCATTTAGTAGATTATATTTTGCCTCCTTGGTGTTTTTGTTTGGCTTTTTGTTCTAGAGTAGGAGTGATTTCTCTATCAATCAAGAAAGAATTTGGCAGAGTTACATTAAATGTTCTCTTCAGAACAGTATGCCTTAAAAATGGACTGAGCTGAGGATATTAAAAAAAGAATAGCATATTTTAATTGTATCATTTATAAACTTTGAAATATTATTTTACATTAATTAATAATGAACTCATTAACATAAACTAACTTACCAATGCCATTTATTGATATCTTACATGTTTGGATTCCTAGGGCTAACATATATAAATATAATTTAAACTATACAAAAGTAAAAAATAAAATAAAATATATAAAAGTTACAAGTCATGAACTTAATGCATATTAAATATTCTTCTAAAAGTCATATATATTTGGTAGAGGCAAAAACCTTTGATGAAATCTAAAATTTCTTTTAAAAAAAGCAATATGTACATTTTTGCATGTATTAATATCAAATAATTTTTGTTCCCAAAATAAATTTTGCTTCCAATGAAAGCAGATATTGACTTTCCAGATGTGCCTTCTCTCAGCATTTATCCTTTCAACAAATGTTTGTTAAATGCATATTATCTGCCTATTTTCCTACTATTAACAGGCAGTAACAAGATAAAGACAATTTCCATTCACCATTCAACATATCAATGAAAACATCAAGAAAGACAAAACTTCAAAGGAACTTTTAAAAGTAAAACAAACTCTGATTTCCATTGCTGTGAGGAATGTCCAACAAATTTTTTGCAAAAAGGAGCTGATTAAAGAACGAAATTAATGGAAGTCACTCAATCAGTATTCATTTGAGTGCCTCCTATGTGATATGTATTAGTCCTAACATAGCTATATCAATGATCCTCTTTTTTTAATCTTCCCCTCCACAAGAATGCCATATAATAGGATAGATTAAAAAGTTAGAAATTGAGATGCATAGTTAGTAAGTACAAGTTGAGAATACTGCATTCTTAGATTTATAGTTTTTCATTGACTGTCTTCATGTAATAGAATGAGAGTTACAGGTTTAAAGTCAGCTTCATGTATTTCCATGATCAGAGTGAGAGCACACAGCCAGGGCAATCCACATATCCTATTGTTTTGATTTTGCATAGATGTCTTCTTTTAACAGCATAAACAAACAGAAACACAATTCCAATGCAAACAATGTAGCCTAAAGGAAAGTAACATTAATTTGAAGATATATTGTAAAAAGTCACCAATACTTATTTATAATATGAACAAAAATTAGTTTCAGAAAAAATATAAAATTGGAACTGAATAAAGTTTGTGGGGTAATCCTTCAATCATTAAAAAGTCTAAAGAGAGCCTTTCGAATAACTATTGAACTAAAGAGAATTATACATATAAGTCCGATTGCTTAGAAAAATAATAAAAAATAAAAAATCAACATTCATAGAATTACCCCCAAGCTTCAGTCATAATCCAAAATATTTCATGATTTATAGAAGAAAAACTGGGAAACTTCCACTTATTCCCTCCTTCTTTTATTTATTCTGTGAGTGAACATCAGGTGCCTACTATATATCAGGCACTCTACAAAGATCTAATAATAAAATTGTCAGCCAAAAATACATAATCCCAGGTCTCACAAAATCTATTACCAATAATGAGATAATCATAAAATACATATAAAATCAAACATTGATAAGAACTCCCAAGAAGAGGTACATGGAGACAAAATAAGAAGAATGGACCAAGTAAAGGAGATCAGAGGGTTCATTAAGGATGTGACAATTGAAAGGAAATATGAAGTAAAGATAGGACTTAATCAGGCAACGGTGGGGAATAGGGTCAGGGGAGGCACTCCAGACTCAAAGATCAACACAGGCAAAGATCCTGTAGCATGTTTTAGTAACTGAAAGTAGGCTAATAAGCCTGGAATGGCACGGAGCAAGATAGGCCTCATGAGGGATAGTGCCACAGACCTAAGTAGGCCATGTTAAGGATTTTGGTGATGACAAAAGTAATGAGAGGCCATTAAAGTTTATTACAAAGTTTTTAAGATATTATTGCTTTTTGGAAAATCACATTATTGTATTTTACATTAATGTTTTTCTTGTATAAATATTAAATATCCTACATGCACTTATTTAACTACTAAAATAATTGTGTACTACTAATTTCAAAGGGAATTATTAATATTTATTTACATATATTTTTAAATAAGAATTACTAATCAAGATGTTTTTCAGGTTAGAATTACCTTCTGGAGGCAGGGAAGACACTATAGACCAATGTTCAGAGGGGGAAGTATGGGTTAAAAATGAAAATGTGCAGGTTATCTACAAATAGACTACTGAGAGATTATAGAATAAGAGAAAGACCCAGGGTCAAGACTTTACGAACTCTCAAATTCATAGCCAGATATGGGGTAGAAGCCTATAAAACAGATTAGAATGTCAGAGAGTGGTATGTTAGGAAAGCCAAGAGAAGTGAATGTATCTGTCTGGTTTTAAGATTTCAGTACTACTGAAAAGTGGTGAAGTGGACAGAAATATGCCCATTATATTAAGAGAAATGGATATTAATTAATTTAGTTGAGGTAAATTAAAGTGCATATAATCCAGACTGCAGAATATTGAGAAAGGAAGGGAAAAGGAGGGGAGAAGAGAGGAGAGGAGAGGAGAGGAAAGGAGAGGAGGTAGAACAGCAATGAACTTCTTTTTAAGAAGTTTAGTTTCAAAAATAGGAAATAGAGATCTTTTTTATAATTTTATTTTTCTTTTGTTAACAGAAAAGATTCAAAACTATTTAAAGACAACAGGGATCACCTTGTACTTGAGAAAGAGAGATAAATAACATAGTGAAATGTGCCAGAAAATACAGAAGGAAATAAGATCTAAAGTATATTTGGAGGTATCAGAATTAGTGAAAAGGAGTGATCTATTCCAAGAGTTGCAAAGGATTATAAGACAAATCCAGATGTATATAAATTATGAATAAAATATAGTGGAATTGAGAGACTCTCCATCTGATATCTTATTGTTTTTCTCTATTACTGCCATCAATAATTCTTCCTACTCAAATTCCCATAGAAATTACTAATAAAATATGCAATTAGAGAAAATCATGTGTTAATGTTGAAGAACAGAAATAGTGATGGCAGCAGCTGCTCCAGACAGCCTGTGGCTGCCATCAGGTATGCTGCACCAGGGAGGTGCAGCCAGGACTGCACACTCCATGGAGCCTGCAGGATCTGGGGACAAGCAGGAGTTCTACCCCTGCTAAGTTGAGGCAGGAGCTCCCTGGGTGCCATTGCAGCTACCCAAACTGCAGCTGCAGAGCCAGTCCTCCTGCTCCATAGAGCAGGCAGGAGCCCCGCCCCCACCCCCCCCCCCCCCCGCCCCCAGCACAGCTGCAGCTGTAGCTATCCAAACCCTGGCTGCAGACTCAGGCATCCCTACACACCTGGGGGCCCAGGAAGGCCCTCATGCCCTCACAGGCTCAGAAACGCCTGCTCCTGCTTCCTGGCTTCTCCCGGCTCTCCACACCTTCTCCAATTTTGGAGCAAAGTCAGGTGGAGCCTGGGCACCATAAAGGACAGGTGGAGACAGACAGATTCCTGGGTGGAATGGGGCAGGTCTCCAGAGAGGCCCCACCTTTTTTAGGCCAGGAACGGCCTGAAGGCTGGGCCAGGCTGCCAGTCCTACAAACTAGAGTGGGAACTTGTGGTGCCTCTTCTGGGCTTGCCCATGGCTGCCCATGGACCAGTTGGCATGTACTTCCTCCCCTCTGAGGCCCATAAAAGCCCCAGGCTCAGCCAGAGCTGAGCAGATAACTGGACAACCAACTACAAAGAGGAGCAACCCTTATTGTTGACAGCAGGAGACGTCAAGATGACCAACAGCAGAGAGGAGCTACCCACTCTAGGACCGCCTATCTGCTGAGAGCTTCAGAGACCTGCAGAGACATCAGGACTACCAGCTGCAGAGAGGAGCAACCCACTCCAGGGTCTCCTCTCTGCTGAGAGTTGGGAAAACAATGGGATGACCTGCCTGCAGAGAGGAACTTCCCACTCCAGGGTCTTCTCTCTGCTAGGAGCTGAACACTCATCAGAACGCCCTGACTGTGGAAAGGAGCTATCCCCTGTGGGTCTCCTGCAAGCGTTCTATTGCTCAATATAACTTCTCTTCATCTTATTCATCTTCCACTTGTCTGTGTACCTCATTCTTCCTGGTCACAGGGCAAGAACTCAGAACCCACCGAATGGTGGAGTTAAAAGAGCTAGAACACAAACAGGGTTGAAACATGAACTTGTTTACCACCTTGTGGGCAAAGAAAAGGAGAGAAGAGCTGTGGCCCTTCAGGGATCCCAGACTTGGGAGCTCCCTGAGCCAGGGCTGTGACTCCCTCTTTGGGGTCCTGCAGTGCCTGGCATCTCCAAGCTTCCGGGTGCCACTGCATGTTCTGGAGCCAGCAGGGGAAGCTGCTTGTGGTGCACCTGGTCCAGCTGCAGCCTCGCAGAGAGCTGACATCCATGTCGGCACTGGAGCTGCCCACCCTGCTACAGCAGCCAGTATGTCTGACTGTGCAGTATCTGGACCCCACACTTGCTCACACACCCTTTGCTGCTCCACGCCTGACTCTTCCTTGGCAGGCATGGGATCCAGGCCAGTAGAGTGAGCTGGGCACAGCCTGCCAGGCTGAGTGGGCAGAACCAGCCCAGCGGGCCTGAGCAAAACTCGGGCAAAGGCACCACCGGCCAGAGGTTTCAGGTCAGAAAAGCAAGACCTCAAAGATCCTGTGACAATGGGATACTGATCTGCTGAAATTTTCAAAGAATTACTCCTTGACATAACAGGGACAGCAATAGACTGAAAGGAGGGTAAGAGAGTCAATTCAGGCCTCCTGTTTCCCATCCCCAAATGACTTCCAAGAAAAAATATTGACTTCAGGAAGTTGAAAGTTTGCCATTCTCTAAAAATGAGGAATTAGTGTGGTATCATTGAAAACAATATACTGGAGTCCGACTAGTATTGAGAGGTCCCAGGTTTCAGTCCTGGCACCACGCTCAGCACAAACTTAGAAGTATGCATAGTCAACTTTGTTTCAGACATAGAAATCAGACCAAAAGGAGACACTAGGATGTCTGAATTTGGGCACTAGAGAAGTAGAAGAGAGGTGGAGGTATAAGGCTTTATGTAGAGCAGAGGAAAGAAATGAAACTCTTCCTAAGTTATTCCTTGCAGCCATTCTCCCTATACTCTTCCCCAAAGGCTCCTAGATCTGAAGGAGACTAAAACTCAAGATTGTTCTTAGAAAGATTTATAAAACTGAGATAGTACCACACATTATAAAACAATATAAATATATAATATTTAAAACAACATGGCTTAAGCTTAAAAACAGGTGGTAAATTTAATGAAAAAGAAGCTTGCCAGGCTTAAAAATAGGCATTTAGTGTATAAGCTGGCATTTCAATCAACAGAAAAGGGATTCGCCGGGCACGGTGGCTAACGCCTGTAATCCCAGCACTTTGGGAGGCCGAGGCGGGTGGATCATGAGGTCAGGAGATCGAGACCATCCTGGCTAACAAGGTGAAACCCCGTCTCTACTAAAAATACAAAAAATTAGCCGGGCGCGGTGGCGGGCGCCTGTAGTCCCAGCTACTCGGGAGGCTGAGGCAGGAGAATGGCGTGAACCCGGGAAGCAGAGCTTGCAGTGAGCCGAGATTGCGCCACTGCAGTCCGCAGTCCGGCCTGGGCGACAGAGCGAGACTCCGTCTCAAAAAAAAAAAAAAAAAAAAAAAAAAAAAAAAAAAAAAGAAAAGGGATTCAAAAGTTGCCACTACTGGAATAATCAGTTTTGTATTTGTAAAAATAAATATATAGCATATCTTCATGTTATGTGCCCATGCAAAGTTAAATGTTTAAATGTTAAAAAAAAATCTGGAATATTAGAATAACTAAAAGAAAATACAAATGAATATCATGCCTAGAATTTTGTTTTAGGAATATATCATGACTATGTACAAAGAAGTATCTGAGATGATATTTATGTTGTTGTTTTATATAATAAGAAAGCCAGTAAAGTCTTTCAAACTGTCTAGAAAGAATTCCTGACAATGTTTTAGAAATTATTCCTAATATAGAAAAAATAGAATGCTGCAACAAACATTATATAAAGCTGGTATATTTGGTTCTAAAACATGCCTACTGTTTACTAGCAAAAATATTCCTACTACAGCACTTCAAGTCTTATTATACAGCTACAGTTATCAAGACAGTATGTTATTGGTGAAAAAAAGAAACAAACAGATTGATAGAAAAAAAAATCTAGACACAGATCTTATAACCTTCACAAAAAATAGCTCAAAAGAGATCACAGACCTCAGTGTAAAATGCAAAACTAGAAAACTCCTAGGAGATAACACAAAAGAAAATCTAGATGACGTGTTTGGCAATGACATTGATACAGGAGTGGGGCAGGGAAGTGCTGGGAAGAGAATGGCAGGGCCTATGGTTAGGGTTCCACTCCCAGCCCTGTGTCCACAGACCTAGGTAAAGACAGGCATTTGTTTTTGTGTCCAAATGTTGCATTTCCCGAGACCACCCTGGCCCACCATGCCTCCAACCTGTGCCTATAAAAACCCCGAGACCCTAGTGGGAGGAGACACAAGCGGCTGGATGTCAAGAGGAACACAACAGTGGAAGAACACACCAGCAGACACCAGCAGATGTTGGCAGGCCATCAACCAATGGAAGAACATGGAGTTTTGCCAGGGTGGTCAGAGGAGAGCCTGGCTGCTGAGCGGCCTGACTCCAGGGGAAAAACCACCTTCCCACTACATCCCCTTCTGGCTCTCCCATCTGCTGAGAACTACTTCCACGGAATAAAACCTTACGTTCATTCTCCAAGCTCACATGTGATATAATTCTTCCAGTACACCAAGGCAAGAAGCCCAGGATACAGAAAGCCCTCTGTCCTTGCAATGAGGCAGAGGGTCTAATTGAGCTTATAAACACAAGCCACTTATGGATGGTTAAACTGAAAGAGCACGCTGTAACACATGCCCAACTGAGGCTTCAGGAGCTTTAAGCATTCACCCCTAGACACTGCCATGCAGTTGGAGCCCCACAACCTGCCCATCTACATTCTCCTCCCAGAGGTTTGAGCAGTGGGGCACTGAAGAAGTGAGCCACTCCTGCTGTTGCACACCCCGCGAGGGGAACAAGGGAATGTTTCCCGTGTCAATATTTTACATACAACAATATCAAAGGCATAGTCCATGAAAAAACAAACTGAATTTCACTAAAATTAAAAACTTTTGTTCTGCAAAAGACACTGTCAAGAAAATAAGAAGACTAGCTACAGACTCCAAGAAAACATTTGTAAAAGACATATTTGATTATATTAGTCTGTTCTCACATTGCCATAAAGAACTACCCGAAACGGGGTAATTTATGAAGAGCTTTAATTGGCACAGAGTTCCACAGCTGTACAGGAAGCATGGCTGGGAGGCCTCAGGAAACTTACAATCATGGCGGAAAGCAAAGGGGAAGCAAGCACATTTTCACAT
This sequence comes from Homo sapiens, assembly GCF_000001405.40. Classification (NCBI taxonomy): domain Eukaryota; kingdom Metazoa; phylum Chordata; class Mammalia; order Primates; family Hominidae; genus Homo; species Homo sapiens. The sequence continues at coordinate 97,456,313 of NC_000004.12, forward strand.
GGCCAGCAGGAAGGGGAGAGAGAGAGAGAGCCAAGGGGGAAAGTGCCATGCACTTTTGAAAAACCAGATCTTGGGAGAATTCACTCACTATCATGAGAACAGCAAGGAGGAAACCTCTCCCCATGATCCAGTTACCTCCCACCAAGCACCAAGCACCAAACCCCTCCTCCAATGCAGAAGATCATAATTCATCATGAGATTTGGGTAGGAACACAGAGCCAAACCATATTACTGACAAAGGAATGTTATACAAAATATACAAAGAAGTCTTAAAACTCAACAATAAGAAAATAAAAGATGGGGCCGGGAGCGGTGGCTTATGCCTGTAATCCCAGCACTTTGGGAGGCTGAGGCGGGTGGATCACGGGGTCAGGAGATCAGGACCATCCTGGCTAACATGGTGAAACCCCATCTCTACTAAAAAATACAAAAAATTAGCCAGGTGTGGTGGCAGGCGCCTGTAGTCCGAGCTACTCAGGAGGCTGAGGCAGGAGAATGGCGTGAATCCAGGAGTTGGAGCTAGAGTGAGCTGAGATCGCGCCACCGCACTCCAGCCTGGGTAACAGAGTGCTCCGTCTCAAAAAAAAAAAAAAGAAAATTAAAAAAAAAAAAAAGATGGGTAAAATACCTGAATAGATAGATACCTTGCCAAAGAAGATTATATAATGGCAAATAAGCATATTAAAAGATGTTCCACATCATATGTCATTAGAGAATTGCAAATGAAAACAATAGTGAGATACCACTACCTACTGATCCGAATGATCAAAAAGCAAAACATTGATAATACCAAATAGTGGTGAGGATGTAAAGCAAAAGTACTCTTATTCCTTGCTGGTGGGAATACAAAATGACACAGCCACTTTGGAAAGTATTTTGGCAGTATTTTAACGAAACTAAACATATTCTTCCCATATGACCCAGTGATCATACTCTTTGTTATTTAACCAGATGAAATGAACACTTATGTCTATTCAAAAACCTGCACATGAATGCTTACAGGTATCTTGTTCATAATTGCCAAAACTTAATTAGGAGGCCATTAGGCTGACGCAACTCCAGTGCCTATGTAATCAAACCAAACCCAACTCAGTGTAAACAGTGAAACAAGACTGAAGCTTAACTAGGCATAGGCCACCAATTAACATTTAACTAGGAACATTCCCCTTTAGCCAAGCAAATATTTTCATTGTCATGCTTCCATGAACACCTTATATAAGTTTTCACCTCACACCCCCTAGGTGGAGTTCTGAACCACTTCTGGTGTTGTGCTGCCCAATTCCCAAATCACTGTTTGCTCAAAACAAACAAAAAACAAACAACAAAAAAAACCTCTAACATTTTAATGTGCCTAAGTTTGTCTTTTAACAGTTTGCAACAAAAAATAAAGGGTTAAAATCACCATTGCTGCAAATAATACGTGAAAGTAGAATAAGTATATGAAGAGACAGCTTGGGTTTGGAAAAGACTAAAAATCTGGAACTTAAGCATGAAATTTTAAACTGCAGAGCATTTGAGGAATGGGGTGATGTTAAAAGAAACCTAGAGGAAAATTTAATGGCTTAAATAACCATGATGAAGAGGTGGCAGTGATGAAAGAACTAAACTTTAACACTCATTGCACTGTTAGGTGAAAAAAATAAAGTGATATGGATGACAGCACATAATCAGAGGTTCATAACTATGCAAAAACATTTTCCAATTAACAACGTACTTTCTCTTAAATCATGTGCAAGTGGGAGAAGTAAAAAGACTAGCGTTCTTACTAGAGAGATGAAAACAGATATTTGGTATTCAAAGCATTTTTCACCTGAAAATAGGAATGAATACGAGATGGCTCCTAAGTGTATTTGATCTTCATTGAAACCATGTTCAAATTGTAGCTTTCAGAATACAAAAGTATCTGAAAGTACTTGTCTGCAGCAAAGAGTAGCCTAATGTCCACTTAGAATTTTTATATTCTGTGTTCTATGGATGCAAAATTGGTTTAAAATTAATATGAACTGAAGAACAATTCATTTGTCATTTCGTTGAAATTATGATGAATGAGTTTGAAATATGAATTATAATTGAGGTAAAATCAATACAATGTTAAAGAGCTATGCTTTCTTTCTCAAACTCATAATGAAATGAAAGGCAAAATGAATATATTCTAATTTTCCATGGTTTATAATTCTCACTGAAATTATAAATATATAGTATATATTCATTATGTGAAGAAAAACACATTGCTTAAAACTTTTCAGTCACAAGAGGTTATTAAAGTGATTTAATTCATACGTTTGATTGAATAGTAACTAAATATATTTTTCCCCTGGAGTGATTAATGCCTTTTCAAAGCACAATGGAAATGTTTAAAAAAATCATTACATTGTTCCCTGTCAAAGAAGGATGAGAGGATAATGACCTGTTAACTTTTGTAGTTCTGATTAGATACAGACATGTTAGGACAGAAAATCAACAAATACTGAAACTAATCATACCAAATAGCTTCAAAAAGGTTGATGTCCCTGAAAGACAAAGAAAGACTGAGGAAGTGTTCTAGATTAAAGGATATTAAAGGAACATGATAACTAAATTCAATGGATAATTCTGGGTGTAGAATATTATCAGGGCAATTAGCAAAAGTAAAATAAAGACTATATTATAGATAATAATATGTAACAATAAAAAACTTCCTGAATTTGATAATGTTTTATGGTTACAGAGGAAAATTATCTTCATTGTTAGGAGATACATGCGAAAGTATTTGAAGGTAAAAATTATTATATCTGGTAGATTCAAACGGTTACACAATATATAATTTCCTACGAATATATTCTCCAATAATAATAATAATTTATAAATATATGTGTATCACTGTGTGAGAGAGAGACGCCCACACAAAGAGGCAGAAAGGAAGAGTGCAAATGATACAATATATTAACAATTAGTGTTTCAACATTTGGATTTTTCAAAATAAGTGTTGAAACAAAATTTAAACTGTAAACATGAAGTCACTTTTCTAGACATTCAAGTGGTCAACTTCTCTTTCGCTAATATTCTGGTTACAATTCATCTTCCCTAGAAACAGAAGTCCTCTATTCAATCCAGTATCATGCAATTCAAAGGATGCCTGTTTTTTTTTGTTTTTTTTTTTTTTTTTGAGACAGAGTCTTGCTCTGTCGCCCAGGCTGGAGTGCAGTGGCGTGATCTCGGCTCACTACAAGCTCCGCCTCCCGGGTTCACGCCATTCTCCTGCCTCAGCCTCCCCAGTAGCTGGGACTACAGCTGCCCACCACCATGGCCGGCTAATTTTTGTTGTATTTTTAGTAGAGACAGGGTTTCACCATGTTAGCCAGGATGGTCTCGATCTCCTGACCTCGTGATCCGCCTGCCTCGGCCTCCCAAAGTGCTGGGATTACAGGCGTGAGCCACCGTGCCCGGCCAGGATGCCTCTTTTTAACAATGTCAGTTTCTACTTTAGATGGCTTCAGATTTATTTTTCACTTCGAGTTTTGTAAAATCTATATTAGTGTGTTGATTGGGTCCTTCTAATCACCGAGTTTATTTGCATAAACTCTATCCACATGTACTACAGAGAAGCATTTTCTGTTTCCTCTCTGTCAGTCTTGCTATGTTTCTTGGATATTTCACTCTTTCAAATAATTAGAGAATGATAGTAGAAGCAACATTATGCTTCACTTACTAAAGCTCTACAGAGTTATAACACTAGGCCATTCACATCACAATCAGGTAATTAGTAATTGAATTATAGTTTAACTACAGAGAATTAGCTACAGTGGTTATAGAAGAAAGTTCCACTTTCTCCTCTTCCATCAACCCCCCACTAGTACAACCACCCACTTTCCTGCATCTGCACCCCTATATTATATCCCTTTATACTCAGTAGGGTTTTCCCCAGAAGCCCCATTTAAAATTTCAATATTGTTCCTCAGACCTGTGATAGCTTCCTTCTCTGCTTTATTTTTTTCTATTTATTACAATAGGCATGTTATATATTTTATTTTGTATTTTGCTTTGGTTCTTATCTAGCTTCCTGGAAGCTGTTTTTGTCTATTGGTTCTATAGTACTTAGATCTATTCTTGACATAGACATTTGAATTATTTTTCTTTTTTTTTTATTTTTATTTTTTGTAATTCTGGAGACTTTAGGTCTTCACTTATTTTGGGACAATCTCAACTAAGATTATTTTGTGCATCTCTTCTCCATTTTCTTTCCTTTTTTCTTGGAACTGCTATTAGGCATGTTTAACCTTCTTAAACTATTCTTCATGTATTTCTCCAAGGAAACATTTATTAAAAGCATAACATACATATAGAAAATTGCACAAGTATAATTTAATGAATTTTCAAAAAATGAACACTGCTGTGTAAGCAGCACCCAATCAAAAACAAAGTATCACCAGTCCTCCAAAACGCTCTTATGTTCCCACACCCAGTCACAACTCCCATATGCACTCCTGAGCCTGCAATAGCCACAAGAAACTTGACTTCTAACACTATTATTAGATCACCATTGCCTAATATTGAACTTTAGATAAATGGAATCACACAGAAAATTTGCTCTTGAGTCTGGTTTCATTCATTCAACATTATGCTTGTAATATGGATCCATGTGGTTGCATATAACATTCATGCTCAGTTCTCCTCTTCATTCCATTTTATAAATACACCACAATGTATTTTATCCACTCTATTTCTGATGGCCATTTCTGGGTTGTTTCCAATTCTAGCTATTAAAAATAGTGTTTCTATCCATCATTGCACATGCCTTTTGGTGCACATATATACACATTCCATTTCATTATATACCCAAAAGAGTAACTGTTGGGTCATAAACTATTTATACATTTAGTTTTACAGAATCTACCAAGTAAAGCATATGAGAGTTTCATTTTTCTCCACATCTTTTCCAACATTTGGTTGTCTCTCTTTCTCTTTATCTCTCTCTCTCTCTCTGCATTTTAGCCATGCTAATGGGAATAAAGTAGTATAACACTGCTATGGTCAGAATGTTTGTGCTTCACCCAAAAATCATATGTTGAAATCCTACCTCTTGCAATGTGATGTTATTAGGAGGTGGTGACTTTGGGAGGTAATTAGATCACGATGGTTGAGCCCTCATGAATGAAATAAGTGCCCTTCTATGAAGAGGCCAGAGAGCTAGCTAGCTTTCTTTTCATCATGTGAGAAAACAAGAAGTCAGCAGTCTGCAACCCAGAAGAGGGCCCTTACCAGAACCCAACCATGCTCGCATGGATCTCAGATTTCTAGCAAACTGCGAGAAAAAGAATTCTGTTGTTTATAACCCACCCAGTCTATGGTATTCTGTTACAGCAGCCCAAACTGACTAACAAAAACACTGTAGTTTTAATTTGTTTATCACTTATAATGAAGTTGAGAACGTTTTCATATGTTAACTTTCCATTTGCATATCCTTTTTTCTTTTTAATGTGCCTGTTCAAGTCTTTGTCCATTTTTATTGGCTGTCTGCCTCTTTTAAATCTATTTTTAGAACTTCATTTCTAGATTCATTTCTAGATATCTATAATTAGATATCTTCACTCTTCTCTGTGTCATGCCCTTCCATTCATTTTAATGGTATCTTTTAATCAATAGATACTCTTTATTGAATGTCATTCAATATATCATCTTTTTATTATTAGTTAGCATTTTTTGTGTCCTCTCAAAGAAGTATTTCATTAACTTAACCTCATGAAGATAGTCTCCTACTTCTTCTTTTCTAGAATCTTGATTTTTTTTTCATTCTTAGATCAACAACACATCTGGAATCAATTTTGTATGTAGTGTAAGATAGTACTCAAAATTCTTTTCATTCCATATGGAAACCCAGTTGAATGAGCACTGGTTATTGATAAGACCAACTTTCCATTGTCCTACATATTTATGGCTCTATTTGTTACTTGTGCTCTTTTCTCCCATTGGTCTCTTTATTTTTATGTCAATGTCATATTGTCTTACTTATATTAGTTTTATATAAATCTTAATATTTGGTATGTAAATTCTCTAAGCTATTTTCTTATTCATAATTGCTCTCATTATCAAATTCTATATAAATTTTCATATAAATTTTTAAATCAGCATGTCAATTTTCACACACACATACAATCCGCTGAGATTTTTAATTGGGATTACATTGAATTTATTTAAAGGTCAATTTTTGGAAAACTAGCATCCATAAAATATTGAATGTATAATCATAATACCTTCTTCTATTTGTTTATATAATTCCTAGTTTTTGTCAATAATTTTTTGTAGTTGTCAGTTTGGAGGTCTTGTGCATCTTTTGTTAGTTCTTTTTGGTATTTTTTTTTATATCATTGGCATGACATTTTAAAATTTTATTTTCCAATAATTTGTTGCTGATAGCTATAAATTTTAATTTATTTTTGTTCACTGACTGTGCTAAACTCATTTATTTTCATGTACCTTACCTACAGATTATTTTGGACTCTTAAATTTCAAAATGTGTTTATCAGCAGATGTTTGCAATTTTATTTCTTCCTTATTGTATGGACTGAGAACTCCAGTATAGAATTGAATAGCAGTGGTTATAACTGGCATTCCTGATGACTTCCCAGTGACACACAGAAAATAATTCACCATTATGATTTTTAAAAATTTCTTTATCTGATTATATATTTCTTTCTATTCATTTGTTAAGTCATTTACAATAAATGAGCATAAATTTTATCCTTTTATTTCTGAATCTATTAAGATGATCACATAATTTTTCACCATTATTCTGTATGCAAATGTGGTAAATTATAATTTTTTCATGTTTTATTTTTGTTACCCTTGCTCTTCTGAAATATTATCCAGCTTTCAAGCAGTCTTTTACATTTTTCATCTCTTTATCTTTTTGAATTGTATTGTAACCGATACCTCACATTTACCTTTACTTCTTTGCTCAGTTGTACCTAGCCACTACAATTTTTTTATTTAAATGAATTTATGCACATGTTTATATATAAATTTCGGACGCTTTATTAGCTTTTAATAAACATTTTATTTAGGTATACCTTTAGGTTTATAGAAAAGTAGTAGAAAGGATATTAGAGAGTTTCTGTATATACTATACCACTTTCTTGTATTGTGTTTTTGTTGTTTGTTTTTTGTTTATTGTTTTTGAGAAGGAGTTTCACTCTTGTCACTTAGGCTGGAGTGCAATGATGTGATCTCGACTCACTGTAACGTCTTCCTCTCAGGTCCAAGCGATTCTCCTGTGTCAGCCTCCCAACTAGCTGGGATTACAGGTATGTGCCACCATGCCTGGCTAATTTTCGTATTTTCAGTAAAGATGGAGTTTCACCATGTTGGCCAAGCTGTTCTTGAACTCCTGACCTCAGGTGATCTGCCTGCCTTGGCCTCCCAAAGTGCCAGGATTACAGGCGTGAGCCACTATACTCGGCCTCTCCTATTGTTATTATCTTACATTAGTATATTTGTTATCACTAATGGATCAATATTGATACGTTACTGTTTAGTAACACCATATGTTTTTTCAGATTTCCTTAGCATTCATCGAATGTTCTTTTTCTATTCTGAGATCCCATCTTGATACCATATTACATTTAGTAGATCAGGTCTTTGTGTGGCTTTATACCGCACTCCTTTCTATTGCTGTATAGTATTCCGTTACATAGATGTACCAAAATTTGATTTTCCATTCACCTACTGAACAACATCTTGGTTTCTTCAAGTCTTTGGCAATTTTGCATAAAGCTGTTGTAAATATTTGCATGAAGGTTTTTATATGGACATGAGTTTTCTAATCAGTTGGGTAAACACCTAAGAACACAATCATTGGATTGTACAGTAAAGCTACATTTAGCTCTGTAAAAAATTTTATAAAAAGTTTGTGAAATATTTGGGGGAAAAACATAAAAATGCAATACAACAGTAAAAAATGACACAAATGAAAGTACGCAGTATAACAACTACTTATATAGCATTTACATCGCATTAGGTATTATAAGTAATCTAGAGATTACTTAATACTTTGGAAGATGCCAAACTATCTTCCAAACTAGTAGTGGTGCCACTGTTCATTCTGGAATTAATTCTATTCCAGTCAGTGTTGTTCTTCATCCTCACCAGCAGTTCACCCAGCTCTGTCACCCAGGTTGGAGTGCAGTGGTGTGATCTTGGCTCACTAAAACCTCTTCCTCCTGGGTTTAAGCAATTCTCCTGCCTCAGCCTCCCAAGTAGCTGGAATTACAGGTGCACACCACCATGCCCAGCTAATTTTTGTATTTTTAGTAGACACAAGGTTTCCCAGACAAGTCTCCAACTCCTGACCTCAGGTGATCTGCCTGCCTTGGCCTCCCAAATGTTCCTCATATTTTTACATGCTTATTTACCCTGTCACTGGTACTTGCCTGGTACATGTCACCATATAATAGTAGGGATAAATAGTGGGTGAATTGAATTATTCTTTAACAGAATATTTGCAAGAAATCTAAATGTATTCTTGCATAGGTATATATCAACAGTCATAAAAGATCATATTTATGTCCACTCAATTATAGTACTCAACACATACACCCTTAAAAAAAGTCATGATTTTTTTCTGCTCCTCTGTTTTCTTCAGCTGGAATAGTTTCAGAATTGTATTAGGTTAAGTTCTTTCCCCTGGAAAGCATAACTTTTTTTGGAAAAGGTTACAGTCTTACTTCATAATGGTTACTCTTCTCTCCCTTGAAGGAAACTTTCCAGGATTCAGGCTAGGAGAACTTGTTGGTGAGCTACTAGAGAGAAAGCACATGAATATGTGGGTTAGAAAGCCTGGCGCTTTCTAATTACCAGGCTAGTTCTGGATCAGCCTCCAGCAATTTGTCAAAATTACCATTGTACTTATTCCTCTCAGTTGATGGATCCAATGGCTTCAACTCCTGATCTCATTTGCTGTATCACTCTGTATTTGTCTCTATCCAGATTTCAAAGTCGTGGCTGTTACTGCAACTTGTTTTTAGATGGGTCCAAATGAAGTCATTATTTTTCATTTTGTCCAGATTTTTCTTATTGTAAAGACAAGAGTGATGACTTTCAAGCTCTTTATATATTAGAGCTGAATCCAGAAGTCTATTTGGATATTTGAAAAATATATCTGTTCTTTGTGTATATATGCTTTCCAGGTTTTTCCTTCTGTGTTCTATTATATCATTTGTTTAATCATATGAATCATATATTTCATAAACTCTTATCAGATTCTTTTATCTTATACAGTATTCTCTTGTATCCATAGGGGATTGGTTCCAGGAACCCCAGTGCATACCAAAATCCTTAGATGTTCAGGTTCCTGATATAAAATGGCATCATATGAGCATATAACCTATGCACATCCTCTCATATATTTTAAATCATCTCTAGATTACTTATAATACCTAATACAATGTGAATGTTATATAAATAGTCATTATACTGTATATTTTTATTTGTATCATTTTTGCTGTTGAATTGTACTTTTTGATGTTTTTCTCCAATATTTTTGATCCATGGTTGGTGAAATCTGTGGATAAGGAACCCACAGAGACAGAGGGTGAACTGTAATGTTCTTGAGTATATTAATTCTCCTGTTGTTTACATGTGTTTATTCTTCCTTACAGTGGTTTGTAACTTTTTGGTTGTCGTTGTTGTTGTTAACTCATTTTTAGAGTTTAGGAAAGAAAAATTTGTTCAAAACCAAAAATAGCCCAATGGAGAAGTTTTGTGTTTGCTTCTACAAGGTTCCAGGGTTTTAAATAAATCCTTTATATCTATGTATTATAATACCAAAAGGTAATAAAAAAGCATATCCATACCTATGATTTATGCAAGCCCACCATTTGAATTTTTCCTGTACAAAATATCCAGCCATATCCAACTTGTAGCACCAAGGCCGTAGAGTCTATTTGTCTGAGATAGAAATTTTTGTGTTTATACAGCCTTTCTGAGTGTGTAATTAATAGAAGTTAGGATACATCTGCATCACTTTTGTTTCCAACTATCTAGATATGCCCTAATCAGTTAACTCTTAGTGATAATGGTTAAGATGAGTATGGTTTCTTGAACTATACTGTCTACATTTAGAGTCAAGCACTGCCTCTTAATAGTTTTGTGAATGGGGCTAGGTGCTCAGCTTCCTTTTCCATTAATGGAAGTGAGCAGTTCTTAGAAAGGGGCTTGGGACGTAGCAACTCATCAACATTTGTTAGTTATCTGTGGTATTTACTAATATTCTGTTTCTACTTCTTTCTGTGGATTTTAAGTATTTATTTTTCATATAAAAGTTTTAACTTTTTAGATGAATGTCTATTACATTTTTCTTTTGTGAGTTTCTTCCATCGTTTATGGTTATATTATTCATACCTTCCCAGAGTTTAACAAAATCATCCAAAATGTAGGTAAACATAGCAGAAATATAAGAACAAAATATGAGCTGCTTGAATAAGTTGGTAAATTAATGAATATTAGAAAAAGAAACTAGTGATCTTTCTCCATGTCATTTCAGAAAACTAGATCATAGATTATTTGATGTCATATATCATGCATTCAAGTGTGAAACAGGATTACCTATAAGTTGAGAAATAGTTACAGAGTTTGTTAAAGATATTTGCAATAGACTTTTTAGCACCCAAGCTACTATAGTCAAAACCGACAAATGTGTGAAGAAAAAAAATAGTTAACATTTTAGTGACATTTTTAAAAAGTTCACAACATTCAAAAGAAATACTACAGCTGAGAAATGGAAAATGACTAAGTTATCTCCAATATCTGAAAAAGGTCACAAGAATTGCATAGCCACTGAATTTAACCCTATCTTTTGGGGAAGCCTTAACCAGACATTACTTTGACTTTATTACAATCAAAATCTGAGTATATTTAAAACCTTACAAAATGAGTATTTTTCATTTTCATGGCAATCATAAAAGAGGTTTATCATTTGATAAATTAAAATGTTAAAAGTATATGATTTTAATTTGATGATTTTAATATTTTAAATTGGGTAAAAAGCATATAAATTCTTAATCATATATTACCATAATCAAATACTCTTCTTCCTTTATTCATATAGAAAAAAAAATCCCAAGCATCATCATTCAATACTAATGGCAAGAGTAAAACAGAATAACCAGAGGATGATTCGCCAAATGAAGTTTTCAACTTTAAAATAAATTACATATATAATGAGTTCAAGAATTCATTTTACATTCATACAGTATTCATGTTATATGAACCACAAGGCACATTAATAATAAAGTGATTCATAAAGCCTATTAAAAAGAAACCAGTCTGTTAACTGACTATACTCAAAATGGAAATGGAGAAAAAACCATTATGAGAAAGTAGGCAAATAGGCTAAAAATTTAGATTGTTTTGTTGACTGGATCAGGAGATAAACGCAAACACAGAGTAGGCTAATGCAAAATAATTAGATAGAGAGCAAGGAACACTACCAGGTACTCTATAAGTCATCTCATAGTTTGAGTAAGAATATGGCTGTTAGTTATTAAAGCTGCTTTTGCTTTTTTTTTTTTTTTAAGATGGGATAGGACTCTACCTACTGCATTAAGAATGGATTTGTTCCTAGGTGAGGTTCTTATGTGGCATACTACATAGACTGTAGAGAATAAACATTATATTATCTCTAAGAGAGTAAGTTGATAGGAAAAAGAGAGGCATTAGCATGTTTAAAGATTTTGCTACATATCCTCATAAACAATTAATCCAGTGATTAAATTATACTTTAACAGTCCGTCACTAATTTCTTGTTTAAACAACAAAAAGTAAAAGAAAAGCTTCTATATCTAGATTAAAGTTTATAAGACTCTAAGAGATCAGTTAGTACACAAAATATTTGTCAAACTTTTTTTCCAATGTAATGGTTTCTTCAAAAATTTGTGACAGTGACAAACTCGTGCATTACGTTTTATTAATCTTTGAAAGCAATGATTGAAAGTTATTTCTTTGGGTTTTAAAAATACATATCTATACCTAACCAAGTTTGTTTATTTTTTAATTAATCAAAAATAAGCACATTCTTTTCTTTTCTGATTGATTATCAAGAAGAAAGGAAAACTCTAGTGCCTTCTGTGCTATCCGAAAATGAGCTTAATTGCACAGGTTGCTATAACTGACGTCACCTAAATGGGAGCTCCATACAAGCATCAGTCATCTCCTTTTGTGCTTTATTCCATTTCTCTTTCTCACATTCCTAAATGTATTGCATGCACTACTTTATAACGCTCTGTATCTGGCACCTTCGCTTTTCAGAAGAAAAGATAGTTAAACGTGGTAATAACCAGTCCAAGCAGATTTTCTGGAGGTGGTCATTGTAAATAGAATCCCTAGACTATTAAATTTTTTCCTATGCCCTATAAACACTATAGAACAGCAAATCTACTCCCTCCCAGTTCAGATGAATACTATTTCCTTCTCCTTAGGCAGAGAAAATTCTTCCATGTGTCAAATAGCCTCATAGTGATTTGGCCTATGCAGTGGAATGGGAGAATGAAGAAAAAGATACCTAAGAAAAGCAGTTTTATTTAGTCAGGCTACTTTAAGGTTTCTCACAGATAACTAAGAAACACAAGCTCTCCCCCCTTGATTATCTGGCTTCTCTTTCCACACAGATATAAAAACTACAACAGAACCAAAATAAAAAACACATACAACCAAAGTTTACTGCCTTCAAAATATTATAGTATGTTGGTCTATACAATTGAATTAGCTGCCACTTTTCTATGAAATATGGATGAGAAAAACAAAGGTTGGTAATACTCTCACATATCTGGAAGCATTTTGTTTTAAACTCAGGCAAACATGCACCACCATGGTATTCAGGTAGTGCTATTAAAATCCACCTGTTTATTGGCTAAAGGGAATGCTCAGTTTTCTAAAATAACAACCCAGTGACATTTATAAATTTTTTAAATGCATGTTAATACATTAAAGAACTGAGTTCATGCTAAATAATTTGGATTTGAAATAACTGTAGTCATTCTCTACTTTTTTTGGAATGAAATGAACCAAAACCAGAAATGAAGGAATATTGATAAAGCTAATCTGTAACAGCTGGAAGAAAATGTTGATGATAGGCTTGACAGAAACATTGGGTTGCCCCATTATTAATGGTAGTAATGTAGAAGAAGGAACCAAATATAACTGGTAGGATGTTGCCAACAGAGAAAGTACAGTGAGAGAGCAGAATCAGAGAGGAAGATACTAGGTTCAGTTCTGGACATTCTGAGTATAATATGTCTGAGGGATGCTAGGATAAGGAAGAGAGCGGCAGTCGTACATTTGCATCTAAGATTCATGAGATATAAAATTAGTTGTTTCTGACCCAAGACCTCAAGGAAGACAAAAACCAGAGACCCAAGCAAAACCAAGCAGAAAGACCAAGCTCATAGAGCCAAAAAGGGAGGCTGAAGAAATACCACAGAAAGACACAGACACAGAAACTAAAACATAGAGGCAGAAATCTCCATGTCAAGAAGTCAAAAAGGCAAGTGGGAACATGTGTGCCAAAAAAAGGTTGTGTTTTATGTGCAGGTCAGGACGTAGTGAGAGAGCGACTGGAGAGAGTATAAAGGACCAGTAACCAAATGAACAGACAATTAAAGAGATTTTAATTTGAGCATGTCTTATTTCTAGGAGCTATGTGTAAATAAAGAAATAGAAATTTACATGAGTAAAAAATATCCTTATGTAACAGTGAATCCTATTGAAACCACTGCATATGATGAGCTATGATTGTAGATGGTTTATGCTTATTTCCATCTTATAAAATAAAATGAAAGTCAGATTCAGGACAATTATTTTCTGATTTTTAATTCCAGCCTTCTCCCTCAGGAGAGAGAGAATTAACAATAAAATAAAGTAAGAAGGCATTGAGATGAGAGAAATATGATAGATGAATCCTCTTAATGAGAGTTGGGTGATTTTAAAACACAGCTGACTGAGACTGGAGGCACATTTGCCTTTCTGGTTTGTACTACATTTTCAAAGATTTTCACTAAACATTTTCTGTGTTTTATAGTGTGGGGGTAAAATTATTTTGCAAGGAAGAATTTGGCACATTATATATTTTTCCTAAAATATATTATACTAGCTTTCAAAATACATTATACAACATGTAATCTTTAATATATAGTAGTCCCCCTTCATCTGTGGGGAATATGTTTCAAGACCCCTAGTGGATGTCTGAAATCATGGATGATACCAAACACTGTATATACTATGTTGTTGTTGTTTTTATACACATTCTTATGATAAAGTTTAACTTATAAATTAGGGACAATAAGAAATTAACAACAATAATAATAAAACAATTATAATGAAATACTGTAATAAAAGTTATATGAATGTGGTCTTTCTCTTTCTCTCAATATATCTTATTGTACTGTATGCACAATTCTTGTGATAATGTGAGATGATAAAATGCAATGAGATGAGATGAGATGAGGTGAATGACTGATATAGGCATTGTGATGAGATGAAGTGAGCTGAATGACATAGGCATTGTGATGAGATGAAGTGAGGTGAATGACATAGGCATTGCGCTGTAGCATTAGGCTACTATTGACTTTCTGATGATATGTCAGATTGGGGATCATCTGCTTTGGTTGATCCTGGATCATCAAGCCATTACAATATCGATGGTTGGGTATTAGGAGCAGACAGTGTCGATGTCAATGTTTATGACTAATGAGTAGGTAGTGTATACAGCTAGATACACTGGACAAAGGGATGACTGACATCCTGGGAAGAATGGAGCAGGGCAGCCTGAGATTTCATCACATTACTCAGAATGGCAATTTAAAACTTACTAATTATTTATTTTTGGAATTTACCACTTAGTATATTTGGATTACAGTTTACTTTGGGTAAGTAACTAAAACTGCAGAAAACGTAACCACAGACAAGGGGTGGGGAGCTACTGTACTTGATTTATGGTGAAATGTGCATCTTTATAGAATTGTTACATATTACTATGTCATGTACAATATATTGATTATCACAGAGTTTAAACTGTGTCAGTTATCTGAGTAAATGTTTCCTGGCCACAATCTCTAGTTGAAACAATAAAAATAGTCATATTCATATTATTAGAATAATAATGCTATTGCTAATAATTCAATGTTTTGCAAATAATCTTAGAATACTTTAAGTAATTGAAGTGATTCTTGTACATGGTATACATTTTATCTGCAGCAAAATACTGAAATACTTCTCTGGAGATCCATAGATATTCTGAGAAGGTGCCTGAGGGACCATCTTAGGGGAGGAACTAAATAGAAGTGGGAAAAAAGATCAGCACCCAACTTTCTCCCAGAACAGCTGCAATTGTGTGTTCATCCTATTGACTTCTTATTTTAAAATTCATTTTAAGACAACGTTTTAATGTTGGGAAAAATAAAACTTAATATTCCAAGAAGAAGTTTATATCAGTTAAGGATTAATATTATAAATACAATATGAATGGAATTTGAAAAAAACATTTTCTGAGTGTTTATAGATTTATCTGAGTAATGCTATTCCTTCAGTTTCATATGACTCGAAAACAAGTTTTCATACAGCAGGTACATCCCAATGGTAAATAAAATTTTTTCTTTCTTTCAAATTCACAAATTAGTTTTAAATATACATCACACAAAATCATATGAAGACTGATTTATTTGAGAACATTTATGTGCATATTGAGTGTGAACAGTACTTTGTAAGAAGCTTATAAATCATTCCTCCATCATAACAACAACTAGAAAAATAAAAAAATCAACAACTCTTTCTTAGTTTCTTCAGAGAACTGAAGTTACAAGACAAACCATTGCCCAGAAAACTGAAGGGATAAATAGAAACAGAGAACCACAACTTAGTGGGGCAGAAATTCATTCTGAAATTTCTGTGGGAACCAGTGTTATGGTAGGAAAATCTGAACTGTAATTGATGAATTGCTGGAAGCTCAGTGTGGACAAGTTTAAGAGATAAAAACTCCAGGGAGACGCAGTCAGTGGGCATCCCCAAACTTTGGTGAGTTTCACCTCCAGGAGCTTGCCTTGGTTCTCACAGTGAATATTGAAGAAACATCTAGTGCTTTCAGCAGGGAAAGGGGAAAAGGAGCCATTTTGCAACATGTGAGAGTATTCTGTTCTTAGCAAGGCCTGCTCTCAGGAAGAAAATATGTCCATACAAAACCTGCACACAGATGTTTATAGCAGCTTTGTTCATAATTGCCAAAACTTGAAAGCAACCAAGATGTCTTTCAGTAGATAAACTAATTATTAATTATTTTATTACCTAATTATTAACTGTGGTACATCTAGATAATGGAATACTATTCAGCAAGAAAATTAAATGAGCTACCAAGCCATGAAAAGACAAGGAGGAGCCCTAAATGCATGTTACTAAGTGAAAGAAGTCAAACGGAAAGGCTACATGTGATTCATCCTATATGTCATTCTGGAAAAGATAAAACTATGGTGACAATAAAAGGATCATTGGTTGTTGCGGGAAGTCAGGGACCCTGAATGGAGGAACAGGCTGAAGCCATGTTAGAAGAACATAGATTGTGAAAGATTTCATGGACATTTATTAGTTCTCCAAATTAATACTTTTATAATTGCTTATGCCTGTCTTTACTGCAATCTCTAAACATAAATTGTGAAGATTTCATGGACACTTATCACTTCCCCAATCAATACCTTTGTGATTTCCTATGCCTGTCTTTACTTTAATCTCTTAATCCTGTCATCTCGTAAGCTGAGGAGGATGTATGTCACCTCAGGACCCTGTGATAATTGCGTTAACTGCACAAATTGTAGAGCATGTGTGTTTGAACAATATGAAATCTGGGCACCTTGAAAAAAGAACAGGATAACAGCAATGTTCAGGGAACAGAGAGAAAACCTTGAACTCTGACCGCTGGTGAGCTGGGTGGAACAGAGCCATATTTCTCTTCTTTCAAAAGCAAATGGGAGAAATATCGCTGAATTCTTTTTCTCAGCAAGGAACATCCCTGAGAAAGAGAATGCGCCCCTGAGGGTAGGCCTCGAAAATGGCCCCCTTGGGTGTGGCCGTCTTCTATGGTCGAAACCGTAGGGATGAAATCAGCCCCAGTCTCCCATAGCGCTCCCAGGCTTATTAGGATGAGGAAATTCCTGCCTAATAAATTTTGGTCAGACCGGTTGCTCTCAAACCCTGTCTCCTGATAAGATGTTATCAATGACAATGCGTGCCCGAAACTTCATTAACAATTTTAATTTTGCCCCGGTCCTGTGCTCCTGTGATCTCGCCCTGCCATTTGCCTTGTGATATTCTATTACCTTGTGAACCACGTGATCTCTGTGACCCACACCCTATTCAAACACTCCCTCCCCTTTTGAAAATCACTAATAAAAACTTGCTGGTTTCACGGCTCAGGGGGCATCACGGAACCTACTGACAAGTGATGTCTCCCCCGGATGCCCAGCTTTAAAATTTCTCTCTTTTGTACTCTGTCCCTTTATTTCTCAAACCAGCCGATGCTTAGGGAAAATAGAAAAGAACCTACATGAAATATCGGGGGTGAATTTTGCCTGATATCTGGCTGAGTTTCCCCTGATAATTGGTCCCAGAGGTTAGGGAGGAAGGAGGTGGAGAATAGAGGGTTTTTTTTTGATCACTGAAACTATTCTATATAACAATGTTGGATACATGTCATTATACATTTGTCAAAACCCATGGAATGTATACTAAGAGTGAACCCTAATGTAAACTATGGACTTTAGATGATAATGTTGTTGTCTCAATGTAGGTTTATTGATTATAACAAATGTACTACTATGGTCTAGGATGTTGATTGAAGGGTTGTCTGTTTGTGGGAACTGGAGTTTATGGGAACTCTCCATACATTTTGTTCAATTTTTCTGTGAACGTAAAATTGCTCTAGAAAATAAAATGTATTAATGGAAAAAAAAAAGACAAGAAGACATTAAAAATGTTGGCTTTCTTGCATTTTCCATTTCATTGTTAAAAGCAATGGTCAAGGCTGAAATGAGAACACGAAAAAGCGATAATGATGGAGGTTGGGGGGTGGATAGTAAGGATTCCTGTGGGATGGTCATTTTATCACTAGTATTATGTAGAATTGCCAGCTCATGGTGATAATAATCCAACTAACTTTTAGTGGCTTTGAACATGATTTTAAATTTTTCTACAATATACTCACTTATTGCTTGCATGTAAGGCAAATTTTCCATACTACCCCTTGGTATATATCAGGGACAAGGAAGATGGTTACAGGGAAGGAGGAAGTTTAGCCAGAATCCCTTATGACTTTTAGAGAGAAAAGCCTACATTAATGTCATTACTTTCTTTTTAATTTATTTTATTGAATTTTTATAAAATTATAAAGAAGAATGCTCACTGAAGCCAGTAGAAAAAAAACCCCACAGAGCTGTATTTTTAAAAGTTAATAAACCACTAACTCTCCTCAAATACAAAATTCTTACCTAGCAGGTAGCAAATAACTTTTTGTGTGGGTTGACCCATACTTTTCTCTTACTAAAACAAATATACACATAAAGATTTAACTTATATAAATATATGGCATTATGTAGTATATATAATTCTTTAACATGCTAGTTTAGTGATATATATGGTTCTCTACAAGTTAATTCATACAGCATTAATTCATTTTCTTATTCATTCACTCTATTAGCATATTTTTTGTTAAAAATATACTACTGTAATTTATTCAAATCTTGCCTATGGATAAGAGGGTGTTGCTTATAAAAATATTGAATAAACATCTTTGAAAATAGAGCCTCATATATAATTTAATTATTAGGGATAGTTTCTAAAACATAGATTTTGCTGGGGGCAAATAGTTTTTCCAAAAATACTTTAGCACTGAATGTTTTCATTCTTTATTTTGCCAAACTTTTGTTGAAAACAGTATATAATTGTTTTGATTAATATTTCTTTGCCAAATAATTTGAATTTCTTATGTTTATAGGTCATTTACCCTTCCTCCAAATGAATTGCATATTTGTATATTAGGTGTGTTATGACTTTTTCTTAGAAATCTTCACTCTTTAACTACAATGTATAATGTATACAATGTTTATCAAAAAGTTTTCACTTAATCTAACATATATGTATATATGTTATATATAATACATATATAATATATGCATATATGTAAAATATGTATATAATATATATGTACCATATTCAACGTATGTTACATTCCATATAATATTGTGTACTGTGTATTACATATGTATGGTTGGTATGTGTGTACAGGTCCTACATGGGTTTTCTTTTCAATATTCCATAAAATTCATCTTCTGTCATACTATCACCCTTGTTCACACTGCTTCACTGTTAATTGCTCTGCTCTCCCCTAACATACCATGAATACTTTGACCTTAGAGCTTTGCACTTGTTGATCTTGTTGAACAGAGGCTTTTTCTTCAGATTGTTGCCTGGAATGACCGCTGACTGCTTAGATGCCTCTTCTGAAAGGTCCTCTTCACAGAGACTTTCCCTGGCCGCTTATCTAAAAGGCCAGCCAACCACCACCATCAGGCTCATTCCTGTGTGATTTTGGTTTCTTTTTTCTTTACGCCACTTACTACTACCTAAAAAAAAAGTTAACTTGTTTATATGTTTATTTTTTCTCTGTACCATTAGAATGTAAGCTCTTGGAGGAAGAAATATTGTCCATCTCTCTCATGCCTGTATACCTAGTGCTAAAGACATGTGGGCATTTAGTAAATTTGTTAAATCAATGAATGTATGAATTAATATATTGTATTTAATTTTTAATGTGGTAAATATTTGAATAATATTCAGTTTTCCTATACAGCATTGTGGCATGTTTTCCATATATGTTCAGGTTTTATTTGGTATCCTAAAACAAACTTCTATAGTTTTCTTCATATGTATCCAGTAACTTAGTAAATTTACTTCCTAATATATCTAGTTTTATTTGGGACATTATAATGCCTAGTTATACTTTCATAATCAAAATTTTCTAATTTGTTATTTTAACTTAAAAAATTTTTCTATATATAGCTTGTTCAACTGACTTTGCAATATTCTCCTACTAATGCTAATAGTTTTAATACCATTTCTTTTTTCTTTTTGCCATATACATGTTATTCATATCTCACATTGTAACATTTTCTCTGCTTACTTGATTATTTTTCCATATTGCATTGTTTAGAATCTCTAAAACAGAATTGAATGATAGTGATTCTGGAGGATATCACTGTATCCATCCAGATTTTAATGGAAATAAGATTAGTGTTTTAACATTTAATATTATGCTTGCTATGAACATTTTCCATATAATCTTTAAATTGTTTTAATGTGCTATCAAATTATATTTTAGTTGAGCTTATTATTAGGACAGGTCCCTGAATTTTGGAAGCAGTTTTGCAGCATCCTTTAAAATAATTACATTGTTGTTATCACTTAAGTTACTATTGCAATTAGTTACACTGGAATATTTTCTTTCATCCCAACAATAAACTCTAAGTGGTTCCAAATATTATTCTCTTTCTGAATCAGTAAATATTTACTGATCATGAGTAGACACCTGACACTTTTCCAAATGACATCTTCAAATGGATATATCAAAAAGACAGTTGGATAATTAATTTCGGAGTTTGGGGACAAAACCACAGCCAGATTGGAGATAGTATTTGGGAATCACCAGCATGGAGTAGACCAACCTATAACAATTTAAAGGTCCTGTCATTGGGTTGTGAACAGTTACTCTATTAGAGTCCTCTGAGTGTGTGTGTATATGTGTGTGCACATGCATGCACATATTGGTATGTAACCCCTCAGTAAATATTAACTTTGTTTTTTGGTGTTACTATTTTATTTTACAGTAGCTTATATAGTAACTGTCATTATTTCTATTAATTTATACCAGTCACATTTGTTCTCTGACACAGGGGTCATTTATAATGACAATTTATCATTTCGTATAACAGTTTCCAATTTTCAGCTCTGAACTCCTAATCACCTGAGTGGATGCCATTAGTTCTAGGGATTTATTTGTCCTTATCCTCCTAGAAAAGTATGCAAAGAAAAATTTTATATCATTGTAATCTATCCCCAATCATCAGGTGTTCTTTATGATGGTTTACCTTCCTTTTTTGTTTTTTTTTTTTTTTTTTGAGACTGACTCTCGCTCTGTTGCTCAGGCAGGAGTGCAGTGGCACGATCTCGGCTCACTGCAAGCTCCGCCTCCCAGGTTCACGCCATCCTCCTGCCTCAGCCTCCCAAGTAGCTGGGACTACAGGCGCCTGCCACCATGCCCGGCTAATTTTTTTTTTTTTTCTTTTTGTATTTTTAGTAGAGATGGGGTTTCACCATGTTAGCCACGATGGTCTCAATCTCCTGACCTCGTGATCTGCCTGCCTTGGCCTCCCAAAGTGCTGGGATTACAGACGTGAGGAACCGCGCCTGGCCTCGCTTTTTAAATAATTAAAACCTCCTCATTTCCTTGTTTTTGTCATTATCTACTATTGCTTTTCTATATCCTTTGACAAATCTTATCCCTAGTTTACATTAATTCAACACATATTTGTAAATCAGCTACTACGTGATAAAAACTAGCATGTTAACTAAATAAAAATGCATCATGCACAGGTAAGGCTTGTGAAGAATAGGAAGTCTAATTAAAGAGATTAAGCTATCGCATAAGTAATAATACAAGGTAGAAACTAACACATTTATGATATAAAGGATGAAAACGTTAAACAGATTCAAATGAGGTTGCTGGTATTTCTGCATGGAGTGACAGGCAAGCTAACATTTACACTGGGTTTTGAAACATGGATTGATTTTGGAAATGATAGGTAAGTGATACACAAAGCAGAGTAAACAGAATACACAAAGTAAATAAAGTGGAAATACTGAGTCAAGTAGTATGGAGAATCACAAGTACTTTTATTAAGCTAAAATTATAAATATAAAACGAACTAATAGAAAGTCATATTTAAAAAGCACATTGGAATCAGAAAAATGTAGGGCTTAGGAGTAAATTAAGACTTTTTACTTTTTACAGTGACCTGATCATTTTATTTCTGATAGATTAAAAGGACAGCAACTTGAAATATGAACTGGAAAAATTAATAATAGACGATCACTGTAATTTTCTTATGATAACCTTGATGACTGCCAATTAGTAGGGCAGTATTTGTTTTTATCTTGTATACCATTTTGTCCTGAATCTTAAATTATTTCAACATAGTCTCTAAATTATGTAGATTGTTTTTTAAATGCTACTTTTTAATTATTTTTGTACTCATTTAGTTATAGTTTAGTTTTAATGAAATTAACTCTATGATAAGTTTGTTAGGTTTTCTCTTTTGCTAAAATTTTAATTTCATTATGCTATCACGATTGCCTAATAATTCAAAATGACTAAAAAAAATGAGGAAGGGCTTGTTAACTGTATCGCTAGACTTACCATACATTACTAATTTGTTAAATTGATTTACAAGTATCCCAATGATAAACACAAAATGAACCCTAGAAACCAAGCCAAATATGTGTGTGTGTGTGTGTGTGTGTGTGTGTGTGTGTGTGTGTGTGTGTACTTTATATGTGAAAGACCAGGCAATATAAGTAATTGGATGATGGATGCAAAGACAATTGTTCATCCTCATTAATAATAATTGGATCCCTACAACAACAGCATACAAACACACTCAAACAAATATTAGATTGATTAAATATTTAAATATAAAAACAAAAAATTTGAAACTATTAGAAGGATATACATAGCAGAATATGTGTGTGGTTATGCATGTGTATACACACACACACACACACAAACACTTAGGCATAGATAATGATTACTCAAACAGGAATCAAAATACTTACAATAAATAAGGAGATTGCCAATTTGCCAAATCACTGATCGTATATATGGGTGTGGGTCTATATATGCATACAAATAGTTGATTTTTATCAATTCTAAGGTTAAGGGAGAAAGATTGTTCTGAATATCCTTCAGATTACACTTAGCATGACAACCTTATTCTCACCAAAATGCACCAGACTATAAATGGTATAAAGTACAAACTCTTCTGCATAAAAGATAAGAAGCTTTCAAAATCTATCCAAAATCCCTGATTAAAATAGTCTTCAAAGAATACTACATAAAGATAAATAATTTAGTGGACTATAAATGTCCTTTCGAATCTGACATTCTATATTAAATACTGGATTGCACAATAGAAATTGCTGTAGAATTGATTAGCATCTAGATTTCTCAAATGGAGTCATTAAGACATTCCACAGATTTTACACTAACCAGATTTTAGAGTCTTTAGGAAGATTTTAGAATTGAATATCTGTGACTAATGTAAATAGATTAAGGTTTCCATTATAGATCAAGACAGAATAACAAAGACAAAATTTACTCTCTTTTATTCAACTCCTAGAAAACTAGGCAAAATATATGAAACAATTGTCTTCAGCTATTGAACAACAGAAGGCACAGGACTGTGATACTCAAGAAAAGGGAAGCAAAGTGATTCCTACAATTGAACCAGCTTATTCTTTTGTAGCAGTAATGGATAATTTGTTTCCATATTTGCTGAAACTATAATTCTGTAGATCCAGGAAGCTGCACAAATAAGCATAGAGCTGAAAAACTATTTTGCACACTTGTAATAAAATATACTTAGCAAGTTAAATGAAACTGGTTCTTTGAAAAGATCAGTATAACTGACAAACTTCAAAATGATCAAAAATATAGGAAAGACAAAAATAATATAAAGCAAGAGAACCTCAGTACAGATCTATAGATATTAGACAAATAAGGGAAAATTATGCAAAGTTAATACATTTGACAATATATAAAAGATAGACAAATTCCATGAAAGATACAAACCACCAATGTTCACTCAATATGACTGAGTTAACATGAATAGCCCAGTTTACTAAAGAAATTGAATATCATTTAAAAGTCTTTCCGGTTTACCCATTTAAAAAAAGAAAACAAAAAATGAAATGGGAGGCACAGATTGCTTCAGTGATGAATTTTATCAGACGTGTAATAGAAAATAATGCCAATTCTACTGAAACTCTTCAGAAAAGTGAAGGAGACAGACCTCCTTATCTCATTTTAAGAGGCCTGTAATACCTCAATACAAAAACCAGATAAAAACATTATAAAAAACATATTGGTCTCTAGTTTTCTTTAATTATAAAAACATTATAATTCCCACTAGAAATGTATGAGAGTATCAGTTGCTATTAATCATTAATACTGGATATTTTCTTTTTAATTTTAGCTGTTGTAGTAGGTATGTAATGTGGTTTTAATTTTGCATTTCCCTGTGACTAATAATGTTAAATACCTTTCTATATACCTATTTGTTGCTTATAGCCTTCTGTGAAATGCCTATTCAAATATTTTGCTTACTTTAGTTTTTGCCTTCTTATTATTGAGCTATAGGTATTTTTAGCATACTCTGGTTACAATCTGAATAAACTATATGTTTTTAAAACATTTTTTTTCCCAGGATAAGGCTTGTTTTATTATTTTCTCTAAGATTTCTTTTGAAGAGAATTTCTAAAAATTCAATGTGGTCAAAATTATCAACTTTTTATTGTGTGGTTCAAAATTTTCGCTTTCCCTAAGGACACAAAGATTTCCTACTAGAATTTTATTTTCAGTAAGTTTTAGAGTTTTAGTACTTACATTTATATCTCAGAGCTATTTCAAGTTTAATTGTTTTACATGGCATGACATAGAGAAAAAACACATTTTTTGGCATACCAATATAAAGTTATTACAGCAATATTTGTTGAAAATGTTTCCATTTTCTATTGAATAACTTTAGCATCTATGTAAAAAATTAACAGACCATCTACAATAGTCAATTTTTGAACCCTGAATTCTGCTTCCCTTATCTACGTGTATTCAAACTATTTTGATATCTGTAATTATAGAGTATATTCTTGAAATTAAGTCCTAAATCTTTGGAATTTTATTCACAATTGTTTTGGCTATTTTGAGTAATTTGTATTTCCACACAAATTTTAGAATCAGCTTGGCAATTTCTGAAAAAGAAGCTTGCTGGTCTTTCTATTGTGTTTCATCTGTAGATCAATTTGGAGAGAATTCACATTGCATCTTCTAATCTATTAATAAAGTATAAAGATTTATTAGGAATGTTAAAGATTTTCTCACCAATGTTTTGTATTTTGCAGCATACAGGTCTAACATGTTTTGTTAAATGTATCCCTAATTTTTTTATACATTCTGATGCTATTATCGGTGGCACAATTTCAACTTCAAATTTCAACATTTCTTGATGAGTATTTAGAAACACTATTAATTTTTGAACACTGACCTTATAACTGTGACATTGAAAAA
The DNA here is from genome assembly GCF_000001405.40 of Homo sapiens. Lineage (NCBI taxonomy): Eukaryota > Metazoa > Chordata > Mammalia > Primates > Hominidae > Homo > Homo sapiens. Next base: position 97,481,715 of record NC_000004.12, read on the forward strand.
TTCACTTATTAATTCTAGTGTCTTTTTTGTAAGCTTGTTTTATTTTTCCACATAGACTTTTATTTTTGTCTGTGAAAAAAAGACAGTTTTACTACTTCTTTTCCAATCAGTATGCTTATATTTTTCTTGACTTATTAAAGTGGCTAGGAACTCCAGTGCTATGTTGAATAGGAGATGTGAACACAGCCATCCTTGTCTTGCTTCTCATTTGAGGGCAAAAACACTCAGTCTTTCATCAACAAATACATTGATCTGTAATCTTTTCGTATAAATCATTTATTAGCTTGAAAATGAGTCTTTCTATCTCTAGTTGGCTGCTAATTTTTATCATAAGTGTATTTAAATTTGTTGGTCTTTTTGGTATCTTTTAAGATAATCATTTTTTTCTTTTTTAATCTATGACTATGGTAAATTACACTGAGTGATTTTTCAAATGTTAAACAATTCTTGCATTCTTGGACAAATCCCATTTAGTCATAATGTATTATTCTTTTGTATGTTATTGAATATGATTTAAACAGTTTTTGAAAAAAAAGTTTTGGATCTACGTTAAAAAAGATATTGGTCTCTTGTTTTCTTTAATTAATAGCAAAAAATGATACAAAAAGTGAAGGGAGAAATAGTCAAAGAAATAGATAGCATAAAGAAAAAACAAAAACTTCAGGAAACATTGGACACACTTATAGAAATGCAAAATGCTCTGGGATGTCTAAGAAATAGAATTGAATGAGTAGAATAAAGAAATTCAGAGCTCAAAGACAAAATCTTCTAATTAACCCAATCCAACATAGACAAAGAAAAAATAATAAGAAAATATGTACAAAGCCTCCAAGAAGTCTGGGATATGTTAAACAACCAAACTAAGAATAATTGGTTTTCCAGAGGAAGGAGAGAAATCTAAAAGTTTGGCAAACATATTTGGGGGAATAATCAAAGAAAACTTCCCTGGCCTTGCTAGAGACCTATATGACAAAATGCAAGAAGTACAAAGGACTTCTGGGGAATTCATTGCAAAAAGATCATCACCTAGGTACACTGTCATCAGGTTATCTAAAGTTAAGATAAAGGAAAGTACCTTAAGACCTATGGGACAGAAACACCAGGTAACCTATGAAAGAAAACCTATCAGATTAACAGCAGATTTATCAGCAGAAACCCTACAAGCTAGAAGGGATTGGGGTCCTATCTTCAGCCTCCTCAAACAAAACAATTATTAGCCAAGAATTTTGTATCCAGCAAAACTAAGTATCATATATGAAGAAAAGATACAGTCTTTTTCAGACAAACAAATGCTGAGAAATTTGCCACCACCAAGCCATCACTACAAGAACTGCTAAAAGAAACTCTAAGTCTTGAAACAAATTCTGGAAACACATCAAAACAGGACCTCTTTAAAGCATAAATCAGACAGGACCTATAAAGCAAAAATACAATTTGAAAAGCAAAAACAGAAACCAAAAACCAAGGTACACAGGCAACAAATACCATGATGAATGGAATGGTACCTCACATCTCAATACTAACATTCAATACACATGGCATAAATGCTCCACTTAAAAGGTACAGAACTGCAGAATGGATAAGAACTCACCAACCAACTATCTGCTGCCTTCAGGAGACTACACATAAGAACTCACATAAACTTAAAGTAAAGGGGTAGAAAAAGACATTTCCTGCAAATGGACACTGAAAGCCAGCAAGGGTAGCTATTCTTATGTAAGAGAAAACAAACTTTAAAGCAACAGCAGTTAAAAAGATAAAGAGGGACATTATATAATGGTAAAAAGGCCTTGTCTAACAGGAAAATATCATAATCCTAAACATATATGCACATAAACTGGAGCTCCCAAATTTATAAAACAAATACTACTAGACCTAAGAAATGAGATAGACAGCAACACAATAGTAGTGGGGGACTTCACTATTCCACTGACAGCACTAGACAGGTCATGAAGACATACAGTCAACAAAGAAACAATGGATTTGAACTATACCATGAAACAAATGGGCTTAACAGATATATACAGAACTTTCCATCCAATAACTGCAGAATACACATTTGTATTCAAGAGCACATGGAACTTTCTCCAAGATAGATCATATGATAGGTCATAAAACAAGCCTCATTAAATTTAAGAAATTTGAAATTATATCAAGCACTCTCTCAGACCACAGTGGAATAAAACTGGAAATCAGCTCCAAAAGGAACTTCAAAACCATGCAAATACATGGCAATTAAATAACCTGCTCCTGAATGAGCATTGGGTCAAAAACTAAATCAAGTTGGAAATTAAAACATTCTTCAAACTGAACGACAATAATGACACAACCTATCAAAACCTCTGGGATACAGCAAAGGTGGTGCTAGGAGGAAAGTTCATAGCCCCAAATGCCTCCATTAAAAAGACTGAAAGAGCACAGACATTCTAAGGTCATACATCAAAGAACTAGAGAAACAAGAACAAGTCAAACCCAAACCCAGAAGAAGAAAGGAAACATGAAAATCAGAGCAGAAATAAATTAAATTGAAACAAAAAAATACAAAATATAAATGAAGCAAACAGCCAGTTCTTTGAAAAGATAAATAAAATTGAAAGATCATTAGCAAGATTAATGAAGAAGAGAGAAAATCCAAATAACCTCATTAAGAAATGAAACAGGAGATATTATAACTGACACCACTGAAATACAAAAGATCATTCAAGGCTACTATGAAAACTTTTACGCACATCAAGTAGAAAACCTAGAAAAGATAAATGAATTACTGGAAAAATACAATTCTCCTAGCTTAAATCAGGAAGAATTAGATACTCTGAACACACCAATAACAAGCAGTGGCATTGAAATGCTGATTTAAAAATTACCAACAAAAAAAGTCCAGGACCAGACGAATTCACAGCAGAATTCTACTAGACATCCAAAGAAGAATTGGTACCAATCCTTTTGACACTATTCCATAAGATAGAGAAAGAGGGAACCCTACCTAATTCATTCTATGAGGCCAGCATCACCTTAATACCAACCAGGAAAGGATATAACAAAAAAAGAAAATTACAGACCAATATCCCTGATGAACATAGATGCTAAAATCCTTAACAAAATACTAGCTAACAAAATCCAACAACACTTCAAAAAGATAATCCACCATGATCAAGTGGGTTTCACACCAGGGATGTAGGGACAGTTTGATATACACAAGTCAATAAATGTGATACACCACATAAACAGAATTAAAAACAAAAATCACATGATCATTTCACTAGATGCAGAAAAAGCATTTGACAACATCCAGCATCCCTTGATTAAAACTCTCAGCAAAATCAGCATACAAGGGACATACCTCAATTTAATAAAAACCATCTCTTACAAAGCCACAGCCAACATAATATTGAATGGGGAAAAGTTGAAGGCCTTCCCTCTGAGAACTGGAACAAGAGAAGGATGTCCACTCTCACCACTCCACTTCAATGTAGTACTGGAAAGTCCTAGCCAGAGCAATCAGACAAGATAAAGAAATAAAGGGCATCCAAATCAGCGAAGAGGAAGTCAAACTGTCACTGTTTGCTGACGATATGATTGTTTACCTCAAAAACTCTAAAGACTCCTCCAGAAAGCTCCTAGAACTCGTATAAGAATTCAACAACGTTTCTGGATACAAGATTAATGTACACAAATCAGTAGCTCTTCTATACACCAACAGCGGCCAAGTGGAGAATCAAATGAAGAACTCAACCCCTTTTACAATAGCTGCAAAAAACAAAAAACTTAGGAATATACTTAACTAAGGAGGCAAAAGACCTCTACAATGAAAACTGCAGAACACTGATGAAATAAATCATAAACAACCCAAACAAATAGAAACATATCCCATGCTCATGGATGGATAGAATCCAATATTGTGAAAATGACCATACTGACAAAAGCAATCTACAAATTCAAAGCAATCCCCATCAAAATACCACCATCATTCTTCACAGAATTATAAAAAAAATTAAAATTCATATGAAGCCTGCATAGCCAATGCAAGACTAAGCAAAAAAACAAACCTGGAGGCATCACACTACCTGATTTCAAACTATACTTTAAGGCCATAGTCACCAAAACAGCATGGTGCTGGTATAAAAATGGGCACATAGACCAATGGAACAGAATAGAGAACCCAGAAATAAACCCAAATACTTACAGCCAACTTGTCTTCAACAAAGCGAACAAAAATATAAAGTAGTGAAAAGACACCCTTTTCAACAAATTGTGTTGGGATAATTGCCCAGCCATATGTAGGAGAATGAAAATGGATCCTCATCTCTAACCTTACACAAAAATCAACTCAAGATTGATTAAGGACTTAAATTTAAGACCTGAAACAAAAAATTCTAGAAGATAATAGACATTGGCTTAGGCAAGGATTTTATGACCAAGAACCCCAAAGCAAATGCAATAGAAAAAGAGTAAATAACTGGGACTTAATTAAACTAAAGAGCTTTTGCTTGGCAAAAGGAACAGTCACCAGAGTAAAAGGCAACCCATAGAGTGGGAGAAAATTGTCACAATCTATACATCTGACAAAGGACTAATATCCAGAGTCTACAATTAACTCAAACAAATCAGCAAGAAAAAAACAATCCCATCAAAAAGTGGGCTAAGAACATGAATAGACAATTCCCAAAACAAGATATACAAATGACCAACAAAAATGAAAAAATGTTCAACATCACTAATGATCAGGGAAATGCATATCAAAACCACAGTGCAATACCACCTACTCCTGCAAGAATGACCATAATCAAAAAATCAAAAAACAGTAGATGTTGGCGTGGATGCAGTGAACAGGGAACACTTCTACACTGCTGGTGGGAATGTAAATTAGTACAGCCACTATGGAAAACAGTGTGGAGATTCCTTAAAGAACTAAAAGTAGAACTACCATTTGATCCAGCAATCCCATGACTGAGTATCTACCCTGAAGAAAGGAAGTCATTACATGAAAAAGATACTTGCACATGCATGTTTATAGCAGCACAATTCGCAATTGCAAAATCATGGAACCAACCCAAATGCCCATCAATCAATGAGTGGATAAAGAAACTGTGGTGTGTGTGTGTGTGTGTGTGTGTGTATATATATATATATATATGTATGTATACAAACACACACACACACACACACACACACACACACACACAATGGAATACTACTCAGCCATAAAAAAGAATGAATTAACGCATTTTCTGTGACCTGGATGAGATTGGAGACTATTATTCTAAGTGAAGCAATTCAGGAATGGAAAACCAAACACTGTATGTTCTCACTGACATGTGGGAGCTAAGCTATGAGGATGCAAAGTCATAAGAATGATACAATGGACTTTGGGGACTTGGGAGGAAGGGTGGGAGTAGGGGGAGGGACAAAAGACTACAAATAGGGTGCAGTGTATACTTAACTCATATAACCAAATATCACCTGTCTATACCCCAATAACCTATGGAAAAAAAAAACCCAGACCAGGAAGACTACATATGGTATTATTTCATTTAAATGAACTTCTAGAAAAGGAAAAATATAACTATAGAAACCAGAAGTGGCTGTTACAGGTAAGGAGTCACAGAAAGGAAACTTATAGTAAAGAGGAGATGAAAATGATCTATTACACAATATAACTATCAAAATTCAATCAAATTGAACCTTTAAATTTAGTTTTAAAAATTTTATATAAAACATACTTCAATAAAGCTAAGAAACAAAATTCTTTGATGATATTTATGTCTATTGAAGAAATGAAAACTGCTATTAGAAAAAATATATTTTATTATTTCCAACACACCATTTTTTTTACATCTTAACATCTCTAAAATTAGAATGCATGTTACACTTCATGGTTTCTTAAAATCAGAATATTTTTCTTTCTGAATGCTATGTAAAATGAGGCTTTTTACACTTGATGGTATATTAGATTCAATAAATTATAGCAATACTAATGGTTGGATTAAGTTTACTATGTCATGTTTATACCATCCGTGTTTAAGAATTGAATACTTTGGGCTATATTCAAAACTGCACTATTCCATTAATGGTACATAAAAACACAAATCTTATAAATGACTTAGAAAAAAAGCTATAAATGAGTAAAATGCACCAATTTATAGGAAAGTTTTTTGTTTATTAGTAAAAGGTCATAAAAAGTAATTTGCAATTTATTTTAATTATATAATATTTCAAAATTAGAGAAAATACATGTGTAATATAAAAGAAACCTATGTATTTATCACCCATAATTATCAAAATTGCCATTTAGAAAAAGATATACAATTCCATCCCCTCCCCTCTTTCCTTTTCCCACAGAAATAACTACAATTCTGAAGTTGTTACATGTTCTTCACACTTATGTTCTTATAGTTTGTATTCAAGAAATAACTAAGTATGGGCCTTAATATAATGGAATACAATCTAATCATCAAAATAAATGAACCAAATCTGCATTTATCTACAGAGAATATTCTTGAAAACTTACCTTAAGAGAAAAATCAAGTAATGAATGTATAATAATAACAATAACAAAGTACTTCAGGCTATTTTCCATGTGCTAGACATTGTTCTAAGCACTTCAAATACATTAATTTAATCTCAAGAAAAGTCCTAAGAGTTATCCCAGTTTACAGATGAGAAAACTGAGGAACAGAAAGATTAACTATTTTGCTGAAGATCAAACAGTAATTTATTTACATGCAATCTGTCCCTAAAATAAACTCTTACCCACTCTATTATGTGTAAATATAGTATTGTTCTTAACTGCTCTAACAAATAGACAAAATAGAAATTTATGTCTCACTCAAATAGTAGTGAAGAATCAATGTTTCTGGCCAGCAAGGTAAAGTAGGTGAGAGGAGTGGGTAAGTAGGCAGTCTTTCAGAAACCCAGACTCATAGCAAATCAGCCATTTTCAAAAACTGGCTTCCAAGATCTCTGGCAATCCCAGTTGAACAGAAAGAGACAATACATAGAGGACAAAACAAATAATGTTTAAGAATCAGGCCTGGAAGTGACAGACATCATTTCCACTCACATTGCAATAACTAGAATTCAGTTGTTCATCTATGGTAACTACATGATGGTCAAGATAACATGGTCTAGCTGATGGTAAGTCAGAAACTGTGATAGGTCTGAGATGTTACCCTACTTTCACAGTTATATATTGACAAATAGATAGACAGATAGATGGTGACATTGTTTCCCTGTGTCCCCACTCAAATCTCATCTTGAATTGTAACTCCCACAATTCCCACAGTTCATGGGAAGAACCCAGTGGGAGGTCATTGAATCATGGGGGCGGGTCTTTCCCATGCTGTTCTCATGATAGTGAATAAGTCTCATGAGATCTGATGGTTTTAAAAACAAGAATTTCCCTGCACGAGCTCTCTCTCTTTGCCTGGGGTCATCCATGTAAAACGTGACTTGAACCTCCTTGCCTTCCAGCATGATTGTGAGGCCTCCACACCCATTTGGAACTATAAGTCCATTAGACCTCTTTTATAAATTGCCCAGTCTCAGGCATGTCTTTATTGGCATTGTGAAAACAGACTAATACAGATGGATTAGATAGACAGAGAGACAGATAAATCGATACTAGTAGAAATATCAGGCATCTGGGTCAGAAATCAGAGGTTTATTTTCTTACAATAACAGCAGCCAGAGTAACGTAGCACTGGTTCCCCAAGGCTAGTACCACCTAGGTGACCAGATGAGAGGCTACATATAGTCAAAGAGATAGTTCCACACATATGCCAAGATTGTACTGTGGAAGGGAGACTCTGAAAATATGGATCTAGTAGAGGAACAATTGTCTCTCCTTCCCTCTTAAATGAAGGGAGGACAACCTTTTATTCCTAATGTAAGCATATTCACCTTGGGAAGAAAAGGGAAAGAATTTTGAGTTCTTATACTTTGAATGTAAATATGCTTCTAGATGGAAAAAATACTAGCATCTCTAAGTTTACCACTCGGGGTTTTCTCTTCATTTGAAATGTAAACATACAGGGAAATAATTCTCTTATTTCCTTCAAAGGTCTCCTTCTGAAGAGGGTGAAGATCTCTACCCCGAAATGTAAGTGTTTTGCTCTGGGTAAATTAGGAGAAATCTTAATCTCCAGATGGGATCAACTGGCTACAATTAAGGAGACAAAAGATTGCAGATCTAGTATCCATACTATATGAAGAGAACATTTATTTTTTCTGGGGGAAATAAAGCAAACATTATCTTCATAGTGTATCAATGTCTGTCTTTTAGATGGTCAAGACCTCATAACAACACCAAGAAATCCAGGGAAGATTTATTTTCCCACCTCTGTGTTGGCTCAAGAAGAAAAGAATAGATTTCAATGGCAGCTAGTATAAATATTATCTAGAAATATAACCTAGTAATTTTTTAAAAAATACAATCCAATATTACACATTGGTTATGGATACATAAATATGATAGTGTTGATGTTGATATTCCCACCCCTCCCCCCATTTATTCTAATTTATGACAGGCTGATTTCCACATTTTCCACCCTCATCATTCTACATAACCTGTTCTTGCTAAGACCACCAATAGTTCCCTACTTGGCAAAGCCAATGCGTTCTTTCAGTCTTCTTTCTACTTAACCTCTCTTCAGCCATTGGCAATATTAATTATTCCCTCTCTCTCTTCCTAATTTCCATGCCATTACTTATATTCTACTACTCTGTTTGCCACTTTATTAGATTCTCTTCCTCCATCCCTCCCAAAAATGATAGCCATTCTCAGCCTCTATCTGTACATTCCCACTAAGTAATTGGTTACATTATAGAGACACTAGGATAACAGTTTTTAAAAACTCAGTGAAGGAGTACTCGCTTCCCTGTACCTCCTGGTTTCACTGTTATAATTGAAGTAACAATACAAAACAGTTCACAGTTAAAGTACTGTCTGCATGTATAGGTTGGTACCAAATAGGCAACATATGCAGCATGAAATATGAAAACTAACATGCCAATTTCCACTGCCCCTTTTCTGTGTTCCTAACCTTTAACACTTCTAAACATCTCTCCTTCAAAGAGCTTAGATTTAGGACTTCCCATATCTTTTCTCTTTTCTGATGTTGAAGTTCCCATTTCCTAAACACCAGTCATTGGCAAAAAGCACACAATTAAACCTATTAAAAGGCAAGTAAATATGTAGCTAAACCCATTTACAGCATAAGGAATTTAGTTAATATGACCTCAGTTTACTCAGCAAATGCATTATTTTATTCTCTTTCTGATTCACTAACTTGCAATTTTTTGGATTATTTTTTCCTAATTTTTATACTTAGGATTACTGTCTTTCTTAACATATTCTAACTCTGGTGAGGTGTTAACCTCATCTTGACTGAGACCTAAGTCCACCATTTCAAATTCTGGCAGAAAATTTTCATTTAAAGTTACTCCAAATCCATACTCCCTGAGATGGAGTAACTTTAAAAGAAAGTTACTCCACAGAAAGCCCACATATTGGCAATCTTGGGCTTTTTTACCCAAGGAGAAAACAACTTGCCCTCAGCTTCTTAATTTTCCTCTTTAAAATCCAAAAGATGTTAAATAAATTTCCAGCTTCTTCTTACCTCACCCCCACAACAGCATTAGATTACCTACCTCAAAGAACTTATTCCTTTTTAAAGTTATCAAACATTTATTTGGTAAAATTTGGGCACCAAATGCTTTGTACTTGGTGCCAGACTTACAGAAATGCAGAAGACATAGTAGAGAGTATCAAAAAGGGTCACTTGGCAGAAGCTATACATAGAAAGAAATGGCCTCTCAGAGGAGATAAAGCATCAGCTGAATCTCTGAATAATAAACAGGCATTATATTAGTTTATATGAAGAAGGGATAGGAGAATGCTTAGCATGAAAGCAAGAGTACATGCAAAGGCACAGAGACTTAAGAAGGCATGATGCCCTTAACTAAAGATTTTAACTTACAGCTAAAGAGTGGTGCAAGTGTAAGGAAGAAAGTCAGATAGGTAGGCAAAGGAAAGCTTACAATACTCTCTGTATAATCTGAAAACAAATGTGAAATTTATTCTGAAAGCACAGAAAACCTAATGGACAATTTGAGAAGAAAAGTAACATGATCAGATTTGCAAAGAACTCTTGAGTGGCAGTGATAAAGATGAACTCAATGGGGCAATGATAATGAAAGCAAGCAATTAAAAGGCAAGGGGATAGTGAAGAGAATAAATGGTGCCCTAGGATAAATGGGTAAAATTTGTACCAACTTTATCATTACATGTAAAGAATACTTTCATGATGACTAGTAGCCAATAAAGTATGATTTACAATGCTATAGCAATTTTCTCTTTAAAGCACTCAGTGCACACCTAGATGGTCATCTCGTAAGAATGGTGCTGAATATAGGGTAGATACAAATCTAAAAAATATTTACATTAAAAATTTTCCCTGGTGCCAAAGGGAAGAGAACTCCTTTCCCACCCATCGAAGAACTACTTGTCTTCTATTAGAACACCGGAAATTGTAAATGTTTTTTTCTGTCTCTTTGAGATATATGCAAATCTTTCTAAAATTCAATGAGCCTCTTGCCAGTTTTGATCCCAGGAATGTCTTTCATGGGGACCTCTGAAAACATCTTTTTTGAAATATAAACATCAAGGAGAGGGGCACTCTTTCTCCCTGACTCCTCAGAAGTTTAAGCCTAGATATTTGACTCCAAGATGTAACTTCCTATTTGTTGAAAACATGCAAGTTTAATTTTTCCTTTGAATGGAAACATTTAAACATAGAATCCAACATGTATGTAATGGATTGCATCAGCTTGGCTATAGAAAATAGTTAGATTCCTTTGTTCTTTGCCATCTCTTTAGGGATTGCCTAGAATGTGAATTGTAGTCAGTTGAATGCTCATTCAATGATAAAAACTTTTTTTTTTTCTATATTTGTGAGGAGAAATTTGGGGGTTGGCAGATTTTATATTTTATTATATTTCCACCAGAAGAAGAGATTCTTGCAAGGTATAGGATACTAAATTGAATAACTTATGAGACTATATCATTATAACACCCAATGAGGTTAGAAGTTCAAATATCTATACTAATGTATTATACTATATATTTTGGAAGATTGTATTTCTAAGATGGCCACACCAAAATCTCCCATTCCTAATCTTCTCCTGAAATGTGACCTTAGCACTCTCCAGTCAAGAGGTAGAGTCTGCTTTTCCCTTTGAATCTAGAATGCCCTCAGGGACTGTTTTGACAAAGAACATGGCAAAAGTAATGTCCTGAGATTTCTGATCCCAGGCCTTAAGAAGGCCTGAAAACATCCGTTTTTCAGTTCTCAGTAGTACTGACTCATCCTATAATATGTCTAGCTACTTTGCAGGATAGGCCACCTAGAGACCAAGAGACATTTAGTCTGTATAGAAAGAGTAAAACGTCGGTTATTACAGCCTCCAAACTGAAGAGTGAAACACAGCCACAAGAATAACACTGGTAAGACCCTGAGGAAAAAGCAAAACAAAACAGAACCCAGCCCAGCCCTTATTGAGGAAGTGTATACAAATAAACTGGTTATTGTTATTGTTTGAAGTTACTAACTTCTGATGTAGTTTGTAGTGCAGCAATGGATAACTAAAACATAATTAATATCTGGAAGCAGGATCCCGCTGTAATAGAAACCTAAAACATGTAGCATTGACTTTGGGAATTGTTAGTGGGAACAGGTCTAAAGTTACTCAAGGAGAATATTAGTGGAGTTTTAAGGGAAGTGAGAAAACTGCTATTGCCTGCAACAGATAAAATTATAGAAAAAAAAAGGGATATACAAGTTATCACATGCTGCTAGCACAGCAAAATTAGCAAAAGTGTGGCCAGGAATAACATGGAATATTAAAAGTGTACCCAATGTACTTAGTTCTGGCTAAGATTTTCATACAAAATGATGTAAGTGCCAACTGTCTTATTTTAGATTCCCATGAAAAAGTACATAAGAAACGAGATGTACTAAAGGAGATACTGTTCCATTTTCAAGCAGAATTTGGTGAAAATATTAAAAAGCCAGTATTTGCTGAGATCAAAGATGAAATTGTTTTTCCTCCTTGGTCACCCCCTAACAAACAACTACCCTAGTGAAAAAGGACTCTTTGCAAAGATGGAATCCATAATGTTTCAGGAATAAATATCAAATCAAAGGTCTACTGTGAAATCCTTTGATAAGTTGTTAAACAGATTTAACAAGGTGCCCTACATTTTAGCTAGACAAATGGGCTTCTATCAGTCCTAAGGAATTTCTTAATGACTCACCTTTGATTCAACACAAAAAAACGTTTAAGAAAATTGTCCCACAGAACTCTGAAGTATAGCAGAGACAAGCTTATCTCAAAGAGATTTGGGGGTATGAATTATGTCAAATGGAGTAAATTTATAATTTGGTATCTAGAAAACCTATGAGGTTTTAAAATAACTTATATATCCATGAGCTGGAGAGATACAGACATTTTAAAATTAAAAAGTTGCCTTTTTGCCTCCAAATTCCTTCAGGCAGGTAGCATGCTGAGAAGCTTTTCAGTTGCTCATAAATGCCTTCCTCACAGAAAATGAACATTTACTTAGTGGGAAGAGCAAAGAACAACAAAGAAGCAATCCAGGGGAGCAGAATTGCCCTAATCAAAGAACTGAACTCACAAATTCATTTGCCTGGCTGAATTTTAGAATTGCTGTGAACCTGTGATGTTTATGTGCCTACAGCTCTGCTCTCTTTTACTTATATGTATCTAGAAGTCATCTTGTCTTTGTCTCCACATTATATGTTTGATAAATGGAGGGCAAATAAATTAACTTCCTGGTTTGCCTTTGGACTAAGAGAAGCTACGTCCAAGTAGCTGATCCTGAGGTACCAGCCCTGGGAAGCATCATTCAGAAATTGATATGACTTAAATTATGAGATGATAGACTTCAAGCAAATGCTGTAATGGGATGAGAGTTTTGCGGAAGGAGTAAGGATTTTTTTTTTGTGGGACATATTTGAATATTTATGACCAGGAAGCAACCAGTGGTCAAAGATGGCTACAACAATATCTTTCATTCCACAAGCTTTTACACAATGTGACATTAGCATTTTGCCATCATAATAATTAAATGTATGGAATGATGCAACATTAAGAAAATATATACGCCACATACTTACACTGTTTTCCTAAATCCTAAATTAAACCACACCTATTGCTGATAAAAGAAAAAAGAAAAAATGATAATGTAAAATAATTAACAAATGTTTCTGATATAGCTAAAAAATGACAGTGTTCCCATTAATCTCTATAACATAAATCTTCAGAACTCATATTTTAGTGTTTCAGAGAACAATTGAATATCTATATTGAATATAGATATATAATAAACATTTTAAAAGGCAAATGAATTGTGACAGAACATATAGTTCTTCTGGTTGAGTCCTTTTCATTTTGTACATAGAATATTTCTTATTCTGCTTTTATTTTTCCTTTCCTTTATCCTATTATTCCTAGTAGTTTATCCCTATTTTCTTTTTTAAGTCACCAAATTTTATTTATGCAATTCTATTTCTGTCTAAGCTAAAGTATAGCATAAAACCTAATATCTAAAAACACAAGACATCAGTTTGTAATGCTCAAATATCAAATTAAATATTAGAAATGAAATATTAGCCTTAAAACCACCCACACAAAGTTTTTGTATAGTATTCGTTTTTATGTGACAAGCTACTCTTTCTGAATTTGCTTTCTAGTATCGCATTTAGTGTTCAGATTCTATAAGGCAATATAAGGGAGTAATATATTATGCAGTTCGGTTTGAAAAAAATAGATCTCAAAAACTAAGGAAATGCAGGTAAACTCTATATTAATTATCTGTATTTACAGTGTTCAAAGGAAACTCAGTTTCTTGGTAGTCAAGCTACTTATTTTGCCAAATATTATAATTTTAAATGTTTGGGAAAGGGATGGTCAAGACAAAAAAAAAAAAAAAACACAGAACTACAAAGTAAGCCAAATTCTAAAATTTTAACTTTCCATTGAAATTCTACATAAATTCCACATAAGAAGTTTGGTAAAATAAAATAAAATAAAATAAGTAAATAAATGGCTGAATTAATTTATTGAGCTTATTAACATCTGTATATATCAGTAAGTAGCTATTATCCACATGAATCTAAATATTTGCTGTTTTTTCCTTAAATTTTACTATTGTGAGAAGAAAGAAATGTTTTTTGTGCTTCCAAGTTTCATGAGTACATTAAACAAATACTCCAAAATGATTTACACACACAAACATGCATAAATATGTTGAAAATCAATGACAACCAATATGTCCTAAAAATTAGATGACTAACACTTTAATAAAGGCAAAATATTTAGTAATATCATTTTCAGCAATTTTATTGTATTGCCTTAAACCTAAAAACATCTTAAAATAACCTATTTATATGCCCCCCCAAAAGTATTTTCAATAAGAATATACCGTAAAGAGAATAGCAAAAATAACTTGCAATTTTTCATTTGCTTTTTAGCGATTATAAGTACTTGCCTAGGTCAATATGGAATTCTAACAGTTGAACAGAATGTCCTTTGTATCCCTAGGCAGACAAAATAGAGCTGCCTCAGGGAAAAGAATTTATTAAACACACTCCCCAAGACACATGCTGAACTCAAAATTACACAGCATGCATCTAGTCTCAAAAGATTCTGATTTGCTTTTCAGTCAAATGTTTCCCGCTGCTAGAAAAAATGTAAGCTTTGTTTCATGAAAAGCTTTAACCTGAGAATTACTGCACTGCCATGGTTACCCAGCAAAATAGATTGCATAACCTAGAAGGTAGCAAGAAAACATTAGGTTTGGAAAATAAAATGATCTTCCTGTTGGAAAATCATAACGTGTACCCCCTATGTTTGTGTAGGCATCTGTACAGCTTAGCCCATTCTCTCAGAAGATCCTAACTCTGAAGGAAGTTCCCACAGAGCAATATGTGTATCCCGGCAGTGTGTGAATCATTTCTCTTATCTAATAATCTCCTACAAATGTACCTTTGGTTATGCTTTGACTTTGCTGAAAGGTGAGACTCACCATGTGGCATTCATTTTGTCTGCCAAGTATTTCTTCAGGAGTTGTTTGTTTCTCTGCTGTTATACTTTAGACAGAAGTTCATGACTCCATTAAGAAAGAGAAAATAATATCCATATTAAAATGCTATTAAAAATAATCAATTTTCCTGGTTAGTTCCATCTTTTCCTTTTTTTTTTTTTTTAAAAAAAGCAGAGTTCCTGTGAGCATTTTACACAGGAAAAAAGAAGCATTATTAAAGCTGAGTTGTATAAGAAAAATAAGCATTCTTTAAAATACAAATGAGGAAATAGTTTTAAAATTTACTTATTCCTTTTACTTCTCAAGCATTAAAGAAAATCAAAACAGAAAATAACACAAGCAGGCAGCATATACACTAACGACTACTTGCCATCTCAATCTAAGAAAAGCTAGAAAATAATTAGCAAAACTCTTGATTAAATACATCCTTTGCTACATGCCCAATTATAATCATTTCACTATAATGTGTAAGGGAATTAGTAACTTAAAAATGTCAATTATTTAACATTATTGATTATGTTACATAAACAAAATATGTGACTTCAATACAAATGCTTCAGTTAAGTTCTAGTATGACAGAAAAAGGCAATACTTTTCTCCCCATTGTGTTTTCTAACTTATTTTTCAAATTTTGAGAAATCATCTACCAACGGAAATCTCCCAATTAGTAGAGAAAGTTATACTTCTGTTATTTAAAATCTTTAGTTAAAATAAGCATACATTTCTGCCAATTTCATTTTGTTAGCTAAAATTACTTTCAATTATCCTACACTCAATATCAGATAATTACTTGGAAACTATGATTTAAAAATTGTTATGTTGAGTTAGAATTTTTAGAAAGGGTGGTAATACTGTAAGTGTTCATTCCATTATTTGCCTTCTGTTTGCAACACTTTTAGAGAATCTATTGGAGAAATGCATATGATTTCAAAATATTAATAAGGAAAACATAAATTAGCAAGTTATCACTAACATTTTTCATCCTTTTTGTATCTACATACACATTCTTCTGATGCCTACATTTCTCATTATCCCTAGGTTTTCTATTATTTATTCCATTCTTATGTTATTGCCTCAATATAACTTACTAAGGCTGAGGCTTAACAAATTTTAATGATGACAGCCTGAGAACCAGTTCCCCTGACTGTGTGCAGGAAGTGGAACAGGAACAAGCAGCTATAGACAGCCCTTACTAAGTGAACTCTAGTGAAAGATGAAAATTCAATAAGAACTTTTCTCTTTCCTGAAAACAAGGGTGTGTGATTAGGGCATTTGTTTTGTAAATTGAAGAATTTCAAGAAAGAAAAACATAGTCTAGTCCCCATGAGTCCACTGTGGGTCAGGTAGGCTCTCATATAATGACTCAGTTTTTATTTCGGATGCAAACCATGCTGACCACCTTTAAATAGAGAACTTGTTAATGAGGCATCATGTTCCTAGAGTGGCTGAAATATTTAAAGGTATGTGTCATTTTTATGTAAGATGTTAAAAGAATTTTAATACAAAGTCCATGTTCCTCAAATTTCATAATAAATTTAAGATTTAGAAAAATCTCCTCATAAAGATCTGCTTTAGCATTTGAGAAAACTTACTTTTTTCTTGATTATATGTAATACTGTTGAATTTTGTTGTTATTTAATTATAAAAGCTTTTATATATCACAAAACAAGGATGTTCACATTGAAACTAAAGAAAAGTGCATGATTATACAGTTTAGGCAAATGTTACTTAGAAATTTCCACAGTAAAATCTACAGCTGGAAAGGTAAAAAGCAACCTGAAAAAAAAAATAATGATCTTGAAATCTGCAACAAATAGTTGCACATTTTAACTAAAATAAAAAAACAAGAAACAAAAATACAACAATAGCATGGATTGTCGATTTATTTTTAACTATTGCTTCATTAAAAAAATAATATCTGGATTTCTTGCAAAGATAGGATAAAAACAGAAGTGAAAAGTCTCTCTCCCACAATATTTAACAAAATAAAAAAAAAGTAAAAATAACAACAAAACTCACAAGCACAACCCAAATTATGAAAGGAGTACAACAGAATATGCAGCCAGAAAAAGTAGAATGCCAAAGCAAGAAAACAGATGATCTCAGCACCATCACGCCTTGCCCCATCTCTCAAGAAGCCAGTACTTAAGGAATGATGAGTCACAAAAATCCTGTAAATTCTCATCAATACTCTGTAGTTTTTAGTGAACCTAACTGAGGGAGTGACTCACGAGCCCTAGGAAAATCAGGATAAGTCTAACTACAAACAACTTACGTAATACAGGGAAATATCAGTGAGAAAGTATCATCAAGAGTTTCTATCTTCAGGCACACTGTAATAAGTGTGCCTGAATGAAAGAGCAAAAAACCAAGGGATTGTCAGACTTTTAGATGGGATGAGAGTGCCCTGACATGGCAATTTATGAAACAATATGAAAAAGCCCACATCTCATAGCATGAATTACATTCAGCTGCAGCTAAGGCATCACCCGTCCACAATTTATTTTTTCATTGATTTATTTGTTTACTCAACCATTCTTAATTGGAAAACTATTATGTATCTGGCACTGTTCTAAGCACTGAGGAAATACGAGTGAACAAATCAGACAAAAATCTCTAGTTTTATGGAATTTACACTAAAATAGAGACAGATATTAAAAACAAACCAAGTAAATTTCCTTTAATTTTCTTCATGGCATTGATCATGTTCTAATATAAATTTTATATTCAATATTCTTATAGGATATCATATTCTTATTAGAATATTTTAAATGGTATGAAGAAAATTAAAGGAGAAAAAAGAGATAGAAAAGTCCTGAGGGGAAAGGGGTTCCAATTTTTAATAGCATGGTCAGGGAAGGCCTCTGGGAGAAGGTGGCAAATGAACAAAGGCTGGAAGGAAGTGAGAGAATGAACCATGTAGATAGGTGGAGGTGGAGATTCCAGGCAGCAGAAACAGCTAGTGCAAGGGCAGGCGTGAGAAACAGCCAGCTAGACAGGGCCACTTAGATGGGATGAGCTAGGTAGAGGTTAGTATTAAATAGAAGATGGGATAAAAGAGTAATTGGGCTGGGCCTGGAGGCAGGTCTATTGCATAGGCCTCATATCATTGTTGAGTATTTTAAGTTTTACATGCAGTGAGAAGTGAAGCCATGGAGAGTTTCAAACACAGGATACTCTTGATCTAACATATTTTAATTGGGCCATTCTGACTATGGTCTCAAAAAAAGGCAATAGGAGGGGCAAGAACAGAAGCAAGGGGACCAATTAGGAAGATATATCAATAATTCAGAGAAAAGATGATGATAGTGGTAGCAAAAGAGGTTATAAAAAGAGGCTGAAATGTGGATGTATTTGGAAAGTAGAGCAAATAGGATTTTCTGACTGATTAGATGAGGGTGTAAAAGAAGTGAGTCAAGTATGTCTGCAAAATTATACCCGGAAAATAAAAATGTAGCCATTAATTGAGATGGGGCAGAAAATAAAAATGTAGCCATTAATTGAGATGGGGAAGACTATTAAAGAAGCAGAAACTGTGAAAAAGATCAGGAGTTTGGCTCTGGATATGTAAATTTTGAAATGCCCATTAGACATCCAAATGGAGATTTGATGTGTGGAGTTTAGTGAAGACAGCCTGACTGGAGATAAAATATAAGGTCTTCTCAACATATGGATAGCATTGAAAGCTCTCACCAAGGTTGTGAGAAATAGAAAAGAGGAAGTTAAAAGGCAGGGCCTAAGAGCATTACAGCTTTAATAAGTTAAGAAGATCAGAAGGAACCAGAAAAGGAAACTGAAAATGGCTGGTCAGTGAGACAGGATGGTGTCCTGGATGTCAAGAGCAGATGACTCAAGTAAGAATGAGTGTCAAGTGCTATGTTAAATATTGCTAATTAATAATCAGATAAGATGAGGACCGAGAATTGACCACTGAATGTAGCCACACGGTGATTACTGTTGGCCATGACAAGAGTGGTTTCTATGTAACGTAAAGAGTGAAGGCCTACTGAGTTGCAGGGAGAATAAGAGGGAAAGAGTTGGGGCAACTAACTATAGAAAATATTTTAAGGAAGTTTGCAGTAAATGGAGACAGGGGTATGTAGCAATGACTGGAGAGAAAGGTGATCAATCAAGCACTTTCAAAACTATGGCATGTAAGAACCTGTTTTTCTACTGCTGGGATCATCTAGAAGAGATAGAAAATGTTGATGATGGAGGGAGAGTGGGAAATGCTGAAGAGATGTCTTTGGGACCTGATCCAGTTCACAACTAGAGAGACTGTGGATACGTACAGGAAAGGTTCATGAATACTACCAAATACACAAGTTAGAGAAAATATTTAGATCAAAATATCTAGCCTTTAAATATAGTAGTGTAGAGAAAATCGTCTTAAAAGGTGGAAAATGTGTCTAGGATAATTCAGTCACATAAAGTCAGTGCAGATACAAGATCTGAGCCAAGCTGCTCATTTTAAAAATTCAAAGAAATAGCATACATGAACTATGTAAACATATCGCAATAGGAAGAAAAAAAAGGAAAAGAAGGATAAGGTTAGAGGTGGAAGAGAAAAAAAATAAAGCATTATATATGGCAGGGCACAGTGGCACATGCCTGTAATTCTAGCACTTTGGGAGGTCCAGGTAGGCAGATTGCCTGAGCTTAACATGGTGAGACCACAACTTTATGGAAAAAAAATACACAAAAGAAATTAGCTGGGCATGGTGGCGCATGCCTGTAGTCCTAGCTACATTGAGACTGAGGCAGGAGGATTGCTTGAGCCCAGGAGGTCAAGGCTTCAGTGAGTTCGAGATCGTGCCACTCCATTCCAGCCTGGGTGACAAAGTGAGACCCTGTCTCAAAAAAAAAAAGGAAAGAGTAAACAATAACATTATATACAAAATAAGGACAAAGAACTACCTGCATGAAACATAATCCAAAAACTAAAAGCATACTCTAGAGATCATTTTGAAATACAAAATAATTTGATAAGAGTAAGTAGAAGTCAATAAAGTGGATCACAGAGATGAGATGAAAGAGAACAAAAATGAGTTGAAATATAAGATTTCACAACTAAGAAAATTAATTGAGGACCAAAATAGTCAAATTGATTGGATAGATTAGAAATAGCAAGAAACAAGAGAAACAAAATAAAAAGTCAAATAAGTGACATAAAGAAAAGATTCAAAGCAAATATAGGAAATTCAGAGAAAAGGGAAATAGATTCTCATTGAGAGTTGATAAATAGACACACAAAGATAATTGAATATATGAAAAACTACTTATTAGAAACAGGAGTGAAATAAAAAGTTTAAGGAATATAATAAAGTAATATTTCTAAGACCTGAGGATCTGAATATGAAGAGGTTATATTATATATCAGGAAAAAACTTTAACAGAATATTCAGAAATAACACAAATCATAATTAAATTATTGTGCGTCCCTGATAAAAAAAAATACCTTAGGCAAACAGGCAGAAAAAACAAGTCAACTTCAAAAAGAAATTATTCAAGATGGCCTTAAATTTCATCACAGCAACATTCAATTCCAAAATACAGTGAAACACTGTCTTCAATTTTCTGATGGGGAAAACAATGTGTGAGTGAAAATTGTTATCCAAAATGTTGACTTCCGACTATAAAGGCAAATGGCTATCATTCACAGGAGACAACTTAAAAGAGTATGCATGGGTGCTTGGATGGCTAAAAAGCAAACTAGTATTTAAATCCAGACAAACAAAAGATGATTCAAATATCAAGAATTCAAAAATTTAAAAAAATGAAATAGCCATACTTAGTAAAGAAATGGTGGTAAATATTGAATTTATTTAGAAAACTAGAGCAATCCATCTAGAAAAAAAAAATAGAGTTGCAAGGCAGTCTTTAATATAAACCCTGACAAAAAAAATAATAGGAACAGACTGGAAAGTGGGAGGAATACTAAAACATACAATTTATAGAACAGGGAATAATTGCATGCAGATTAAATTGAAACACACAGTTTAAAACATTTAATTAATCACTGTTTTCTTGCCCCTTACGCTGTGAATAGCAATCTCTCTCTCTCTCTCATTCACTCTCTTACTTCCTCCAATTGAAGCTCGAAGCCTAGATCCATTAATACATTGAGGATATAAATTTGTGATATTTAATTTTATTATCTTGTTTTTATTTATAAAGTAATCATTTATAAAGAGATACTTCCTATATACTATTTGGTTACCCAAGGGATAGTTCAATTATAATAGGATTATAAATATTTGATTATTTCCTTTTATTTACCTAGTTTTCAGGATGATTAATGGGATCCCTGAAATAGTGTGTTAGAATGGCTCATACTGGCTCACGGACCAATTATTAAATTTTCAGAATCTCTATAAGCTAGTTATTCAAACATTGGTAGCTTAAAGTCAGCCATTGTGGAAGTATTTACACCATGGAAATAGTCAAATGCTATGAACAGAATTTATGGATAACATATTTAATAGTAAGTTAAATTTGTTTCTGGTGAGAAGACCGCATAGTTTAAAATAATGCTTACTTTTTAAAAAGTACTCATTTGAAAACAAAATATCAGAAAAAAGAAAATATATTTAATATTTCAAAATGTACCAACTAATTCTTATTGCAGCCAATATTCTAGTGTATTTCCTTATATGTGTTTAGTATTTTTTTTTTCTTGACACAGAGTCTCACACTGTGAGCCTCCCAAAGTGCTGGGATTACAGGCATGAGCCACCGTGCCTGGCTAGTATGTATGTTTTTAAAAGTTAAAATGGAATTTGTAATTCTGATTTTTATACTATAAATTATAATGCAAATATCTCCTTATGTTTAAATATACATTAAGTAGCATTTTAATAAGCTAATCCACTACATGGAAATAACAGTGTGTGCAAATTGTCCTGAGTTTATGGAATATTTAAATATTTTAAAAATATATTTTCATATTCATATAAATATATTTTAAAAATATATTTAAATATTTTAAAAATATATTTTCATATTCATATAAATATATTTTAAAAATATATTTAAATATTTTAAAAATATATTTTCATATTCATATAAATATATTTTAAAAATATATTTAAATATTTTAAAAATATATTTTCATATTCATATAAATATATTTTAAAAATATATTTAAATATTTTAAAAATATATTTTCATATTCATATAAACATATTTTTTATTTTTAATTTATTTTTATTTAAATATTTTATTTTATTTTTATTTAAATATTTATTTTATTTAATATTTAATAAATAAATAAATATTTATTTAAATATTTTATTTTATTTAATATTTAATAAATAAATAAATATTTATTTAAATATTTTATTTTATTTTTATTTAAATATTTATATTTAAATATTTTCAATAATTATTACCTGTTACCCCCTCTTTTCTGGTTATTTCCTTAAAATGTATCATAGAATTTGGATTACATGGGAAAGGAATAGTAATTCTTTTAAAGTTTTTATTATATATAACTAAAACTCATCTATAGTTTATAGTCTACTCAACTGATTCTAATCTTGACATCAAAATTACATTTCTGCAATTAAATAAACTTTATAGAACTTGTGGTAGGGAGAGAATGTGGGGGAAAGGAACAGCATTGGAAAATGAGAAAAATTTAAATAGTACCTATGGGAAATAATGTGAGAAAAGTAACATCTCTTGTAGTTTTTAAATTCTAAGCTATGTTCCATATAACCAATTATTATATTCAGTTGAAAAATATATTTTCTTGTAAAACTTTCCACTCTTTAAAATCCTGAAGTCTGAATATTCTATTTTCTCCATCTATAACATCTGAAACATAGGAAAACAACAACCCAAATCACACACAATGCAGCAGATAAGTAATGAAAGTGCTTATAAGGAACTTCCTATGGGATTGTTAAAATGCACACAAAGCAAAAAGAAATGGGCTTGACATGTTACTTAGAAATCCTTTTGTTTTACCAGAATGTCAAAAGAAAAACCTACTATGTCCCAGGGACTATTCAATGGCAACTGTGATGTAAATGTTTTGTTTTTACAATTCTGAAAAAAAGTTATTGTTGTCACCATGGTACAGACAAGGCAAGCTCAACATTTGTAGGAATTAGGCTTGCCCAAATTGAAAGAACCAAAAAGTAGAAATCTGAAGACCAGGCACAAAAGGACAGTCACAAATGGTTGTCTGTTACAGTGGTATTTTTTTTTTTCATTTAGATAATCTAAGTAGGATCTTTAGCCTAGAAATAGCTAATAAAATAAGACTGAACTCAAATACCAATCCAACTTGCAGTCAAAGCATTTACTGAAGATGACCTCTAAGATATGTGAAGGAGCTAATGCTTTCATTTTTTTCTTTTGTCTTTTCATAGTTTGGAAAATCCTTGTGTTTAAAATGACTCAAATCACCCCAAATGGCATTCCTACCATTTTTATCATGAGTACCCTCAGGTGATGTTTGCTTACTATTGTCCCAATAATGAACAACTTCAGCAAATATGTACTTTTTAAGAAACTTAGTTTATCTAACCCAGAATATGAAAATAGAAGTTGATAGTCCTTGGCTGAAGATTTCTGGGGATATTGATTATTGAAAAATTAATAGAGAGAAAAGAGAAGAAAAAGGAAAGAGGGACTCAGATACAAACAGGAGTATAGGATGACAAAGGCAGATTTAATTGGATGCATGCTGGAGAATGCAAAGTTCCTAAGTTCTCAATGGCATTGTTTGGACTGCTATGCATTGAAATTGTGCACTGATATTGTCCTTATAATGAGTTATCTACTTTGAATATGTAATTTTGACACATAGTGTGTAACAGTTGCATGTATTTTGAATAAACTACTTTATATTTTTTATTCCTTTTCTCAAAATGTAAAATTAACCTAACTACAGGTCAGTACTACTATATTGTGCAACTCCAGGAGGCATGCTGTATCCTAAGTGGTGGTCTTGACATTGTGCCATGTATATTAATTTATTAGTGGATGTATTAGTGGCTTATCAACTAATTAATTATTATTTATTATGGATATTTAGTTGTACAATGGCTATCCTATGTATTTTCATTTCGAAGAGGTTTTTATATAAAATTGACTAGCTACTATTGTTACATAGTTTCAGCAGTCATGGTCTGAGGACCAGCAAGAATTCAGGACCAGAAAATAGGAGACCAAAAAAAAAAAAAAAAAAAAAAAAAAAGGCTTCAGACACTGTGTTAGATCTGTGGAAATGTAGGAGTGAGTGTGAACCAAACATAGCCTATGTTTACAAAAACTGCAAACTCACTTCAAGACAGCTTAGACACTGACTGGATTGAGGTAATCTGTCCTACTTTAGCTGCCTACAATAGAACAGTGTAAATTTTCTCTGAAGAAAGAAAATTGTTATCTAGAGACTCTACAATTTTTGTGGGCAATCTCTGGATGAACAAAAAGTTAATAGGCTGATCAAGAAATAGGATCAACAGTACAAAGATGCATTAGAGACAAGGCTTACAGCTGGGACATGGAGGTTTAGATTGGAGGCGCCGACCTGAACTTCTACACATGCAAAGAAAATAGCTTTCAAAAACGATGGCAGAATAAAGGCAATTCCAGACAAATAAAAACTGAAAAAATTGATGTCAATAAACTAAGTGAAAAATTAAAAGGCATTCTTTAGGCAGAAATAAAAAAAAACTATCCAAGTTGAAAACACAAATGGAAAGTGTTTTATATAGTTAAATCTAAATAAATAATGACTATAATAAATAATGATGTACATGGAGAATTAAAATGCATTACAAAAGTAATACCAATCATAAAAGGAACCATAGTATTCTAAACTCTTAGAATTGCCTAGAAAATGGCAAATGGACTGTTATATTAGACTCCAGTAAGTTAAGATGCATGTTATGATCTGTAAATCACTAACAAAGTAGTATAAAATGTATAACTAATAAGCTAATAGAGAGAGAGAATGAATTAAAAAAAACTTGACCATTTCAAATGCAGCAAGAAAAAAGGAAAGCAAAGACAAAACAGATGGAGCAATACATTAAAAATAATACAAAGGAGAATGTAAATACAAATATATCAGTAAATATATTGTCATAATATAATATGTAATCCAAACTTGAAAATCATAAGACTTGAATTTTTTTACAATCCAACTATATCCTGCTAATAAGAGACAAATTTTAAAGATAAGGACATAGGACTGGGTGTGGTAGCATGTGCCTATCATCCCAGCTACTTGGGAGGCTGAGGCAGGAGGATGACTTGAGCCCAAGAGTTTGAAGTAGTCAAACATAGTGAGATCCCTTCTCTAAAAAAACAAAAACAGAATAAAACAAACAGGACATCAAAAATTGAAAGAAAAAAGTTAGAAGAAGTTAAACCACGAGGACACAAACCAAAATATGCCAGTAACTTTAACACCAGAATTATGACTAGAGATAACTAGGAATATTTCATAATTATAAAAGAATCACTCCCCCCAGGAAGATATAACAATTCTAAATTGTATATATCTAACATAGCTTCAAAATATACACAGAACAAATTGACAAAACGAAAATAATGAATCCAAAACTGATTGCAGCTCTTAACACATCTTTCTCAGTAACTACTCCACTTCAGTTGTTTTACAATCCAATTTCAACTGCAATACAATTCCAGCACTAACTAGCCAAAGTTGGTGCAAATCCCACAGGTTAAAGGGCAAAATCCTCCATAAGACTGCCCTCATTTCAGATGCCAGCTGCAAGCCCTAGTGGGTCCCCATGCCACTTGCACTCTTACCAATTGGCTATGAATTCAGGGGTTTCCATGATTCACTCAGGCTTGATAAGGGGCTAGAAAGACTCATAGTACTCAGAAAAGTGCTATACATATGATGACAGTTTTATTAATATTATGAAAGATACACATAGGGTAAGGTCTAGGAAAGTCCTGAATGCAGAACTTCCATGCCTTCCCCACAAAGAGTCAGGGCATGTTACCATTGCCACACATCAAAGTGTTTGCCAATCAGGAAGCTCCACTGGGCTTTAACATCCAAAGATTTTATTGGGGTTGTATTACATAGGCACAATTGATTAAATCATCAGTCACATGATTAAGCTCAATCTTTAGCCGCCCGCTACTCCCCAGCCCCAGAGGTCCTGTGGCCAAAAGTCCCTATCTTCTAACCATGTGGTTAGTCTGTGTCATGACCTGTCCCCATGTTGAAGCTATATAGGAGCCCACTATGAGTCACCTTATTTCTATCATTCAGGAAATTCCAGAGGTTTGTGAAGGAACCTGGAACAAAGACCAGGCAAATTCTTTATTATGCCATAGTAACCAATACAGCAAATACATCCATAAGGGTATAGGAAATCCAAACAAAATAATTTATGAAATAGGCATGACTGAAATATTGAGAATACTGAATTGGTCTATTTAAAAAAAGATACACACTATTTTCAGGTGTACATGGAACATTCACCAGAGTTTACCATATATTGGTTCATGACAGATAATGGACACATGACACATCTATGGCACATTTCATACTACAAAAATTATTCAAAATATGGTTATTCACTATCTTTGAATATAGAAATCAATCAATAAAAAATAACTAGACTCTTTTCCTCAAATGTTTTGAAATTAAGCAATACATTTCAATATATGTACAGGTAAAAAAATCAGAATGCAAATTAGATAACATTTTGGATTGAATGAGAATAAAAATGCAACATACCATATCAACAAATATTAATTATTAATTCAGTATTACTGTGTTATTCAAAATAGTTTATTATTCACCATTTCATTAACTTAATAAAAAGTATGTTTAGAATTATAACGACATAATGATGTTATCAAAATAAGTAGAATTTGTTTGAACAAAAAATAATTTTTATTAATTATAGCATGAAAATACAAAATATAAATCCACGATTATGAACTAAAATTTACCTATTAAAAATAATCAGCACAGAAAATATACTTTAATAGTGCTTTATACTAGAGGGCCAAAGTATTCTGATTATCTGTAGAGAAGCAAACACTCTAACTACCCATCTCTTGCATCATAAAAATTCTTCCCTTTGCTACACTGTTTTCATTGTCTTTTTAAAATCTGCATAATGTTCTTCTGAGTGAATTAACTGTAATTAATTAACCATTTTCCTATTTTCCTATTGTTGTGTATTTGAGTTCTTTAATGTGTTACCAATGTACTCAGAGCTAAATTCCTGCTCTACAGCATCGCCTTCACTGTTAGGCCCAATCTGGCCCCTACATATTTCTATGGGCTTATGTCTCTCCAGGGTTTCGATTTTGAACCTGGTCCGTTTCTGTCTTTGCACTCCTGACAGTCTGTAGCTCCTTCCCAAAGGTGGAAAAGAATTTGACTTTTTTTTTTTCCCCAGAATTCTTAAGAGGTCAGTGTGGAAACTTCAGATGGAAATTTATATAATACAGCAAGTTTCCATTCAAGGTTTCAAGATAAAACTTTATTCATTGTTATGAGCTTTAGACACCCAATTTATAAAAATGACAACTGACGTTCTAAATTTCAATTAGGTTCACAAAAATCTTACAAGAAATTGTAATAATGTCTTGCCTTAACATAAACCATAAAGAACAGTGAAGTTTCATTAGCACATTGTTCAGAGAATCATAGAGAAGTTACAAATGAGAAAGAAAAGTGTGATAAAGAATAGCTTAATGAGGATTTGTGGTATACAATATACAAAAATCTAAAAACAAAGCCTTTTTTTAGGTGTTAACACTAGAAAGTTACTCACGGAAATTGATTTTAAATAAAGACAAATATGCACTTTTAATATTATGGAATATAAGGGAAAACAAAAAATACTGACAAGGCTTTCTCTATTTTTGCCACACTTCAAAGAGATGAAAAGAGGCAGCCACTTTGAAGGGGAAAAATAGTGGTTTGTGCTTCAGAATTACAGATAACATCTCATAATAAGGTAATCCGGGTAAAAATGTTATTCAATTGATTATTAGAATTAATTTTCAAAAATTTAAGAACATTGAAACCTTATCAATGACTTTACATATACCATTAAGTGCCTAGTAAGAACAGAACACTCTACTAAGCACCCCCACCAACCCTCCCACCCCTAATCCGTGGAAAAATTGTCTTCCACGAAACTGACACCTGGTGCCAAAAGATTGGGGACCACTGCTCTAGGCTATAGAGTTTCTAGAGCCGGTATCCCCAGGATTATGTCTGTGATATGTAGAAGGCGAAGTCTACATGTAAATGAATCAATGATTTGAAATTATCTACACACTAGCACACAGATTATTAGAGAATTTAGAATCTGTGTTCCACAGTTTTACTCCTTTGATATGATATGAAGAAGGGTTAACATTACCAGGGTAAGTTGATACATTCTTGTCAGGCTCAATATTGCATCTTTGGCCCTAAATTATATATTGATATGGAGAAAGTGTTTATAGCAAATCATTACAACAAACCATTTTAATTTTTTCTAGCAACAACTGATAAGGGCTTGCATTAGGACAGTAGAAGGAAAAGGAAGTAAAAGTGTGGAACATAAGATTCTAAATTATCTAATAATCTGTGTGGTAGTGTGTAGATAACTGCAAATCATTGATTCATTCACATGTACACTTTACCTTCTATACATCACAGATATAATGCTGGGGTTACTGAACCTAAAACTCTATAGTCTTGAGCAGCAGCCCCCTATCTTTTTGGCACCAGGGACCAGTTTCATGGAAGACAATTTTTCCATGGACTGGGGGTGGGAGAGATGGTTTCAGGATGAAACTGTTCCACCTTGATCATCAGGTATTAGTTAGATTCTCACAAGGAGCACACAACCTAGATCCCTCACATGTGCAGTTCACAATAGGGTTTGTGCCCCTGTATGTTGAAATCTTAAGTATAAACACTAAAAAGGAATACAGGGAAGAATCGATAATATATAGCAATATATAATTAAAGCTGCTGGGCACAGTGGCTCACGCCGGTAATCCCAGTTACTCAGGAGGCTGGGGCGGGAGGATAGCTTGAGCCCAGGAGTTTGAGGCTGTACATCGCTGTGATAATGCCACTGCACTATAGCTTGGGCAACAGAGCAAACTCCCATCTCTAATAATAATAATAGCTAACAAAGGAGAAAAACTGGAATAAAAATATTCAATTAATCCAAAAGAAAGAGAAAAGGGAGGAGTGAAAATGCCAAAGTACATGGAAGAAATAGAAAATGTATAGTAAGATTTAAACACAACTATTTTAGTAATTATGTAAATTCAAAAAGTACTAAAAACTATAATCAAAACAGAGACACTATCAGAATAGGTTTAAAAAGTAAGACCAAAGTACATGCTATTTACAAGAAACATGCTTAAATTATGAAGACACAGAAAAGTGAAAGTAAAAGAACAGAAAAAACTGTACTACAAAATACTAATTAAAATCAAGAGGAATGGTTATGTTAATATCTGATTAAGAAGAATTTATGGTGAAAAAAACTAAAGATAAAAAGCAAGATAATTCATAAGGATACAATAATAATTTCAATAAGAAAGTAAAACAATCCTGAGTTTCTTTGTAACTTATAATAAGTTCCAAAATATATAAAGAAAATTTTAACAGAGGAGTAAGAAGAAATCCATATATTTGCAGTCATAGTAGGAGATTTTAGTATACCTCTCTCAGTAACTGGTAGAATAAACAGAAATAAACAACAACAAAAAAACAGTAACACTTTTGAAGATTTAAACATGATTAACCAACTTTATTTAATTGGTATATATAAAACATCGTTATGCACAATACCTGCAGAATAAAAATTATTTTCAAGCATGTCAAGCATTTATCAAAATGTATTACTTGAGGATCGCTTACCATACATAGATAATAACAAACAAAATAAAAATATATAGAAAACAGAGCAATTATGTAATTAACATAATTAATTTCCTACATAAAAAAAAATGTTTGTGAGCTGGTACGATTTTGCAAGAAAAAAAGGAAGAAAAAAAATTCCTAGTGTAGAGAGATACCTGTGAAAAGCATGCCATATTTGGAGAGCTGCAAGTTCCTTAAAGAGCAGCTGTTACATGTGGAAGGTGGTGAGAGATGAGGCTGGAGGGATAGGTAGTGACTTTACTAGGAAAGGACCTGCATGCTTTGCTGTTTTTTCAACTTTTTTTTCTTATAATCTTGAAATTGTATAAGGAAAATGTAAGAAGTTAACAAGTCATATAAGAAAATTGGACTTGCACTTTGAAAGTTTCAAAATGGCAACAGTTTGAACATTGAATTAGAAGTGTGTAAAACCACAGGTAGTGAGCCCATATAACAGGCCATTATAAAAATCTAGGTGAAAAATAAGGAGATGATAAACTAGAGGATATAAGAATGGTCATATAAAAGATGACACATAGTAAAATTAAAGAACTACCAGGACTACATGATTGGCATCAATAACTAAGATAGGAAAGGTAGGCAATGAGCAAATGAGAGGGTAATTGTGAGAAGCGTTCACTTCAGTTTGGAGCATGCTGTCTTTAAGGTGCCTATGAAATCCCTGACTGTAAATGTTTAGCATGGAATGCATATGTAGCTTGGAAGCACTTGGGAAAGATGTGGTCTGGATCAACAGATTTGGGATATCATAGTAGCTAAAGCTAGGATTGTGTTTGAAGTATGTGAGTGTTAATGAAAAGAAACTGAGAAGAAGGGAGAACAGAGGAGAGAAGAGGAAAGGGAGGGAAAAGAGGAAAATGAATGGAAGAGAAGGGAAAGCAAAAATAAAGAAAAGATAGGGGTGGGAGGAAGAAGAAGGAAGGGGGACGAAAGAGTATCTTCATGGTTTAAAAATATTAGTAATAGCTATCACTTATTGAGGGCTTAGCGTACACCAGACAGTAAAATAATCCTGTGATACAGGAAAATCTAAAATCTTTTTTTCATACTATACTCTCACAATACAGAATAATTCTGTGACTACAGATGTGTGGAGCTTCCCCACAACACACACACCTCATACAATTCTGCAGATGATTCTGCAGCAGACACCAGCTGGATGTCTTCTAGTTCAATTCAATTCTGACACTATCTACCTGGAGAGCATGTCAGATTCCACAGGTTAAGGGCTTAGTCCCACAAGACTGCCCCTACTTCAGATGCTGGTTGCAAGAACAGATTGTGGCCTGTGCTTCTTATTGACTAGCTATCAATTAGGGTTTCCATGACTCCTTTCTTGGATTTGATTAATTTCCAAGAACAGCTCACAGAACTAAGGGAAACAATTTACTTACATTTAACCATTTATTATAAAGAATATTACGAAGGATAAATTGCCAGAGGGAAGAACTGCACAGGGCAAGGTAAAGAAGGGGAGAAGGGGCAGACAGCTTTCATGGCTTCTCTAGGCATGGCACCCTCCAGGAACTGCCACTCGTTCAGTTATCCAGAATCCCCTCTAAATCCTGTCTTTTGGGGTTTTTATGGAGACTTCATTACATAGGCATGATTGATTGATTTCATTGGTCATTGGTGATCAACTCAACTTTCATCCTCCCCATGCTTCCCAGAAGTTGGGAAATGGGACTGAAAGTCCCAACCCTCTAATCATGCATTGGTCTTTCAAGTGACCAGCCCCCATCCTGAAGCTATCTAGGGTCCCCAGCCACCAGTCATCTCATTCACATACAGAAGACTCTCCTATCACTCCAGAGATCCCAAGGGTTCTACTGTGTGCCAGGGAACCAGATGAAGTCCAAATATATACATATGCACATATACATATATATCTTATTATAGATCATATCTCAAAGCCTTTTAATATTTCAAAAATTTAATTCTAACAATCCTATGAAGTGGATATGATTATCATCTTCACTTCAAAGAAAAGGAAACTGAGTTTAGAGAAATTAAATTAATGTGACCAAAGTAATCTAGACCATAAGCAGCAAAACAAGGGCACTAAATCCAGATATTTCTGACAGTTTTCATGATAAGAAACTATGCAGTAGTGCCTATCTAGCCAATGTCACAAATCTAGGCCAAAATGAGTCCCCAAAAAAGAATTGAGGAAATTATTAACAGTGCCCAGTGCTGTAAAAACAAAATAAAACAAACAAAATATATAAAGTCAGAAACAATGCTTCAAAAACATGGTCTTTGGATTTTGCATTTAGGAATCACTGCTGGCTTTGACAAAATCAGTTGCCACTGAGTGGTAGAAGACAGACCACAACAGGTTTATGCAAGCTTGGAAGGTAAACAGATAATGACGGTAAATTTGGCCTATTCTCTAAGGCCTGGCCATGAGGAAAGAGAGGTTGAGAGTTCCTAATATGCTATGAAAGGAGGTTTTGTTTTTGTTCTAAACGTCCCAGCGTCATGAATATATTGCATTACTGAAGAGAGAGAGTAAGCAGCTGGAGAGATTACAGAAATAAGAGAAAGGAGATGAATGAGAAAGGAGTCTGAAGAAACAGAATTTAGAGGAAATTGATAAAGTGTGAGAACCTGGAGGGGGATCATGTCTAGAGCACTGAGTTGAGTATTGTCCTCAAACCCAAGGAGTGATTTTCTTCTCGCTAAGGAAGTAGATGCCCAAAGAATGTTTATAAAAGGAGGAATTGAAGTTCTTCCTAAGACTTCTAATTTCTCATGAAGAAGAAAAAGTAAATTGCATTTTATTAGTAATAAAAGTATTTTTCATAAAGCATATGATTTACTATGACTTAAATGAAGAGTAAACACAACTGAATCATTTACATATATCCTTATATTTTATTAGCTTCAAGGGTATAGGCTTTTACATACTTGAAAATGCTAGCTGTAGATGTTTAAATAAAAGTTAAAAATCACAGTTCTTTGTGCCAGTTGGCTCAATTTTTTTTTCAGCCTTCAATTACTTTGTACTTTTATCTTTTTTATTACCACCAGAACTCATATACACAGTCAAGTCTGAATTTCTTTAGTTGCAGCTGGCTTCTCCTGAACTTAACATTACCTCGCAAAGTCCTGGGGGTACCAATTGGTATATCTTATCTAAAAGTTCATAAAATATGATGAATATAAACATTAAAATACAACACTGAGGATGAATTGTTTGAAACATGCATGGGTCTTTAAACCCAAGATGTTAGTGAAATCAAGCTAAATTCAAAATAATCAGAACTTTTGACAAAATCAAAAATTTATCTGGAATTGATCACCCTAAGATGAACGTGAGACGTGACTAATAAGTTCTATAAAGATATACAGTTATAATTAAGTGAACTACAAATCTATTTTGTTGTGGTGTAAAACACTTTCAGAGATGAAAACCTTACTTATAAGAATTTGCACGCTTGTAAATCATGACCTCAGTAAATCTATAAGGTTGCATTATAATAAGTAGTTATGGATATTACAAGTAAGTCATTTTTCCTTCTGGCTTTTCAGATTTAGGGTCTTGTATTCAGAAATGTATACCCATTTGGGAAACAATATTCTGGAATTTTTAACAAGATATAAAATTTCATTGTCACAGAAAGACAGCCTCATTGTAAAGACCACATATCAAGTAAATGAGAAAAGATATGTACATGTGTTTGTGGGTGCTTAGAGTGGGAAAGCAGAAAAGGGAATTGAAATAAGAAACAACTAGAAAATAATCACACCATAAAAAGTCAACCACTGTCTCCAGAGTAGTAAATTGTAAGTTGAGGGAGCAATTTAAAACAGGAAGTTAGGATATAATGCAGTTTGTAAAGTTAAAATATTGTAAAGTTAGAATAAGAAATTTAAAGTAATCTTAAGGTGTGAAAAAATTTAGAACTATGCCATATTGTTTTTTTTAACTTTTAAAAAAGGTACTTGTACTACTGAGTATAAAGTTCCTTATGAATTCCATCAGCTAGAACATATTAGAAACTATGTTTCCTTTATACAGACAAACTTTTATACACATATACTTATGTGTGTATGTGTGTGTGTATATATATAGAGAGAGAGGTATGTATATATGTACACACACACAGCACACTTGACACCTAAATGTTATGTCGAATATTTTCTACATTTTGTTTTTACATTGTAATACTGTATTTTCAGCCCAATTAAAGAGATTGTTTCGAAAAGTCACCATATTTTTAACACTTAATGCAAACAGATGATGCAAGTGGTAGTGAAGGAAAGAAATAAAATTAAATGAAGCAACCCATAATTTTTTTGTCCAGCATTGTCCCTAAGTGCACACAGGGAAATTTCAAAGTTCCTTAGGATCTCCCTTTTGTTTTCCCTCACTTGTCATTCACAGTGGAATAAAATCCTTGAGCTATGGAGCTACCTGATTCTGAGGTCAGTTCATTTTTCAGTGAAAGAACTATTTCTAGGTTCATTCAAAATATCAATTTTTGTAGTAATTTTCATTTTATATATTTGCAGTAACTTTGGCCATGAACTAAACCAGAGTCACAAATTTTAAGGTTAAAGGTAACCTAGGAAACAGACTCATCTAACCCATTCATTTTAAGTGCAAATTTGAATGTCAATTGTAATGCACAGTGTACCATACTACATTGTCGCTTGTTCTTTCAATAGCTGTACACTTGGAGCAAGCTTTAGGAAATATGAGACACAAAACATATGTTCTTACTTGCATTATCCTTTGTGCCCTTCTTGCGACACTTATAAGAAATTATTTTTATTAAAATTATAGGCCATGTGCTGTGGCTGACACGTGTAATCCCAGCACTTTGGGAGACCGAGGCTGGTGGATCCCCTGAGGTCAGGAGTTTGAGACCAGTCTGGACAACATGGGGAAAACCCTGTCTTTACTAAAAATACAAAAAAAATTTAACCAGGCGTGGTGGCACACACCTGTAATCTCAGTTACTCCGGAGGCTAAGGCAGGAGAATCACTTGAACACGGGAGTTGGAGGCTGCAGTGAGCCAAGATTGTGCCACTGGTGTCACTGCACTCCAGCCTGGGAGACAGAGCAAGACTCCATCTCAACAACAACAACAATATATATATATATATGGTCTGGCCCTGGAGAGAGCATATATTCATACATTCATTTAATTATTATTATTATTTTTTAAGACTGAGTCTTACTCTGTTGCCAAGGCTGGAATGCAGTGGGGCGATCTCTGCTCACTGCAACCTCCACCTCCCGGTCTCAAGTGATTTTCCTGCCTCAGCCTCCTGAGTAGCTGGGATTATAGGCCTGTGCCACTATGCCTGGCTAATTTTTGTATTTTTAGTAAAGACAACGTTTCACCATGTTGGCCAGAATGGTCTTGAACTCCTGACCTCAAGTGATTCGCCCGACTTGGCCTCCCAAAGTGCTGGGATTACAGGAGTGAGCCACTGCACCCAGCCCATTTAAAAATATTTATTGGGCTGTTTTTATTGCAGTGTCTCGTGCTTATCCCAGCTACTAGAGAGTCTGAGGCAGGAAAATTGCTTGAGCCAGGAGTTCAAAACCAGCCTGGGCAACAAAGCAAGACCCTGTATCAAAAAAATTACTGGGCTTCTAATTTGTTCTGGACATTGACATTAATTCAGGAAGCTACAATGACAAACATGAAGGAAATGGCTCCTGATCTAACAGAGCTGCCTGGGAGTGAGACAACTTGGCTCAATTAAGGACAATAAAGTGCCATAAGAATCTCTGACTGCTATTTGGAGAATAATACCAGTACGTTTTTATCTATAATTCCACATACAAAATATCAGGTCAGTTAGCTTTTAAACTTTGTATGTTCTTAGTGTCAATTTTTTTCAGTTTTTAAAACCAACAAATTTTATTTATTACATTATTTATCATAAATTTCTATTTATAAAGTTTCCTTCACTTTTCAAATATTTTTCTCTTTAATTATTCTAGGTGTCAAAAAGCTATTGATTTGACAAACCACATTACTAAATCCATTCCTATTAACCACAAAACAATAACTTAAAAGACTCAACCCATGATTAAATTGCAGTTTAAATGTTAACAACTGAATTAATTTCAATATGCTGCTACCTTGTTCATTTTCCTGTTTGAAATTTTCTATTGCTACTTTAACAAAAAGAATATCAACCATGTTGTCTTTATGGATTGCTCACTTATTCAAATAGCTATTACTCATCTACTAAAAATAAGGCGAATAATAAAGGCTTTCTAAAACTATATATCAAGGAGAAAGTTTTATAGCTTTAGTATTGCTTACAAATCAATTCCTTAGAGTTGGTCTGCCATTAGTAGCTTTTAAGACTGCCTAGAGCTGTGTCATTCACTGCTATTTTGACACATTAATGCACTAATGGTATGTGCAGGCTGACATAACTTCTCTCTAGTTCTATTACAATAATTATCAAGACCCTTCTATGAGACATACAAAGTTAAGCAAGGTGACAAAGAGTATGTAAATACTCAAGTATTCCTGAAGCATTCATTTAAAAATGACAGTGAATAATTAAGAAACTATAAAAACACCAAGATAAAAACTATCTGCTGAGAACCTCATCAGAGGAAACAAACCATGAATAAAAGAGACAGTCACTTAGAAATGAGGGCAGATACATTCAAGTATTCATTTTCTTTTTATAAAACAAGGTTAAAAGTTATGACATGATAACACAAATCACCCACTAAAACCCTATGACTTACTGGCAGTTTTAAATGCAATGAGTATACATTTAAGAAGTATATAATATGGGAAAAATCAAATTGCCTTCAAAAATAATTTCATCTTTGGTGGGAAGATAGACATAAATTTTTTATGAAAAATAAAAATACTGTATTAATGTAAATTGGTAAATACGATCCATTCAGGGCGACAAAAATTGGCTATTGACAATAAAGTACTTAGTTTGCTTTCTCTATTCTCCCTTCTCCATTTCATACCAGGTTAAATGAACAAAAGTCCTCCAAATGAACTGCCTGTTATGTTACTTCTGTCAAAAATAATAAATGCCTTCCTACTATCTATTTTGTCACATTAAAACAACATTTTCACCATCCTGGCTCCCTACCAGCTCAGGCTCAACACCATCCTTTTTTACTTCCAATCTGATGCTAATGCCAGGGAACATTAACAAGTTTTGATGTTACCTTATCAAAACTATTCATAGAAGTGCTTTTCACCTTCACTTTCTTCTTATTCTATGAATGACCCAACTATTTGTAGAACTTTAGATTCTAAGGGACAGTAGAACCAAAAATCGAGATATTTTCTCAAGTTTAAAAAATGTAAAGCCAATAAATTAATAAAAACAGTGGTTTAGATTTAAGACCGAATAATTTAAAATAATAATAATTACAGAGCTGCCAATACAGATGGGAGAAGTAATTAAAAAGCTGAGCATAGAAGAGATAGAAAAGTGAAACAGAAATCAATAAAGATCCTGTACCCTGCTTTTCACTATCCACCACAGGGAAATCTTCAAAGATGGTGGGAAGGGTGCTTATCATCTCTGATAAGTGTGAGGATCCAGAGTGGAGGACATCAGTACTGTCTTCCCATCTGCTTGCCCTGGAAGGCATCAAGGTCTAGAAAGTTCCCCAGAATTTCATGTCACAGGAAAACAGAATTGAGATAGTTATGTGGAGAGATCAGTATAGGCAAGCCCACTGAGATACCCAGAACTCCAGCAAGGTATGGAAGGACTGCCAAATTTCCCCTATTGTGAGAAAAATTTTTAAAAAATGAAACATAGATCCAGCAGATATTGAAGCACCCTTGTTATCATAATGAAGGACATTGTAGAGGAAAGTGGGATCAAATACAGATGCAGACACCTCTGCAAACTCTAGCATAGAGGGATGATCCTGGTCAAGAATGTACTAACTCAGTAAATGATAGCTCTGAATAGAGGATGTCATTTAAGCAAATATCATGTTACATCTCTAGCCAGGACACAACACTGGTGGGAACTAGATTATTTCAGAAAAAAAAATGAGGGAAGATTAAAAGGGGAGAAGAGGAGAGAAGGAAGAGGGAACAAGAGGTGGAGAGATGAAGAAAAAGGAGAAAGGACAAGGGATAGGTAATTCCTGAAATAAACTAGTTGAAGGATCAGGCTCTTGAGTCGAAATGTCCATTTCAATTCCCAGTTTTATCTTATTTGTTGTGTAACCTTGAGTAAGTTACCTAGTCTTTCTGTACCTCAGTGTCCTTATCTGTAAAATAGGGATAAAAATAGTACCTACTCTATCAGGATGCTAGAAAATTAAATGAATCAATACATACAAAGTGGGGGAAAAACCATAAGAAGAGTAAAGCTTTTGTGTAAGTGGAGAGGACATTCTGGCCAAGGACAATGGAATGGTTATGGTATTTCCAGCCACAGTGAAAGACAGTTGGTGGAAGGGAAATAATTGTATAGAGGAGAAAATGAGCTAAGTATGGAGTATTTAGAGTCTGAGTTTAAAGGGGCAGGACAAGGACTTGGCATTACATCCTCAGTAGTCTACATGCAGAAAGTCTAGTACAAGTAGGTATGCATTCAATGCATGAACAAATGATGTCAATGATGGCTATTAATTGTACACTATAAACTAGCCTTGACCAATCGCCAAGTCAACAGTATGATAGCTTGTACCAGTCTCTACTTGTGAACTCTGTATGATTAAGTGAACAAGTCAGAAAAACTCAAATAATAACCACCTTTGGATCCTCTTATGAGAATAAAAAAAGGTTCAGATTTTACCATAACATTTAGTCACAAGTAATTAAGTCAGGCTCTTGTAAATTTCCTCTGTGTATATACTGGTTATAGAATCTTTTTAAGTTCCTGGTCTAGAATATTAAAGAATGCTACCCAACCTGCCAAGACAGTTTTAGTTTTGTGCTCTAGAGAAGATGCTATTTCAGAAAAAGTGATCACAATATTTCCACTTCACAGATCTGTTATAAAATTAAATTAATCTTTATAGGCACTCACGAGAAACACAAATATTGTTTCTCTTTAAAAAATGATCTTACATGGAGAATACAAAGCTAATGATAATTCAGCTGTATTTAAGTGTAAAGGGTAAATGTATTTTCAAATAACAGAGTTTGGGGGTTTTTTTGGTTATAGAGTTTGTGAAAATATAAAAGAAAAATATTAAAATTACTCTTGGTTTGATTAGATAAATGTGGGGTCAAATTTTTCTTTAAAACAAAGGAGTCTGAAAATTAAGTTCAGACTTTTGATATTTATGTTATTAAATTTTTTAAATGTTCCACATGTGATGTTATAATATGTACATTCTGATAAAAAATACTCCACTGTTTGTTACTATTGTACATTATTAAACAGTATATTGCAAAGAATAAAACATATCATTTCCTCAAATATTCCATGATCATTCCATGATCAGTGTGTCATGTGAAATAGTCCTTTTTACCTTGAGCTGATCTTTAATTCTTGCTTAAAAAAATAATGAATGACTTAACACAGGACCAACAAATCAACAGCAGAAGATCAAAGAATTTTAAGAATCAAGGAAACTTAAGAAATTTGCCGGGTCAATCTCTAATTTAATTGATTGGAAACTACTCATATTCTGTTGAGTCAGTTATCCAGTTTGATATAGTTAGAGACAGAGCTAGGATAAGAAACAAGTATTAGAAGGTTCCCAATGCCCAGAGCAGCGCACCACTGTAGATCATTTGGGATCATTACCCAGAACTGACAAATGCATAAACTGATACTCAGAAATGTACTTTAGACAAGATGACGCGAATATGACAGTGAAACTGGTACTAACAACAATGATAATGAAGACCCATTACTTATTTTACATTATTTTGCTCTTTTTGGAAGAACTTTTGAAAAATGATTAAGAATCTCATCTTCAACAGAAATACACCTATGAAGTAATTTGTTCATATACAACTTAAAATATGTAAAATAGAATCCTGAAGTTAAAAACAGGATGAATTGAAATTCACTTTAAAGAAAAATATCTTCCATGTCCCAACTTAATTATCATTAAAAATAGGGAGGTTAAAAACAAGATACCCAAGCTGGGCCCTGTGATGCATGCTTGTAGTATCAGCTACTGGGAAGGCTGAGGCAGGTGAATAACCCAGGCCCAGGAGTTCATATCTAGTCTGGGCAACATAGCAAGATACTGTCTCTTAAAAAAAATCCAAGTATATCTTATTAAAAATATTAGTGGTAATGAGATAGCTACCAGTACTACAAAAATGCCAAAGTAAATATGCTTTAAAAATAAAGCCTGAATTTTGCTATTTCCTATAATCCAAATATACAATTTTTTCTTAAACCTGACTCTACCTACATTCGTGGGAGTGCGGAAAAGATAGTAAAACTTGATAATTACAAATATTAAATTAATTGAATATTTATACAAATAATTAGTTCAATACATTAGAGTCTCATTTAATAATTTGATGCTACTACTAAAATAGGGAAAGAATGTCAGCATTAAAACACATCTTAGCATTGCTGGCATTATCATTAGAGTTTACATGTGTTTTTCTTCCATTGAGGAGTAAGAAGAAAATGTTGCTATTTTGTTATAATCATTACTACTTTTCTTGTAGTGTAGAGTTTAGAAGGTTTATTTTGTAGGTTTTTAAACTCATAATTTCAACTAGTTAAGACACTTTTCCCAGTGTTTTACAATGGAATATGGTCGAAATGAAATAATTTTAGTAAACTTAATTATTTTTTTCACTATGCAAGTAATACTCACTTAGCTATCTGAACTCAATATGTTAATATATACTTACTTTTAGGGTCATTAGTGGGACTTGAGTCATTTATAATAACACAAATTTTACTAGGTTAATCTGACAAACCAACCTGCAGAGTATGTGCATCTTTGTCTAATCTTAAGTAATAGTCTTACTGATTTAAGCAGACACACAGAGATGTTAGGAAGTTGTCTTACATATGGACAAGGAAAAGGTTTCAATTACACTGGCAAATGTTTTGGTTGGGCAGATGAAGAATAAATGAAATACTGGCATGTCCTGGAGGGGTTTTAAACTTAAGCACAATGGTTCACCATCTATATTGAATAACTTAAACAAATTCATGTTTCAAGGTAGAGGCTTGAAGAGAATAATCATTCATAAGTCTTCACAGCTATGATATTACAATTTTAATTTTTTGAAATGTCATGTACCTCTGTACCACCTAAGACATTTGTCACATGTGAATGGGAGAGTTTCTTCCACTATCCTGAAGTAGTTCCTGAAAGGAGCCAGCTAGTCAAACAATTTAAAATGTCATGATTTTTAAAGTTACACCTTTAATATATTGCAAAGCATTTTCATCCACTGTATAAATAGCACATGGTATTTGACATTTTTCTACTATTTTATAGCTTAGAAGCATAATTTGAACAAAAATTTAGTGCACTACACTATAAGAGTGGACCGAGCATTTAGGAGCTTTGATATCAGATAGATTTGGATTGTAATAGAGTCTCTTCTACCCCCAAGCCGGATAAATATTTTAAGTACGTAGTCTCATTTTTATCATCTATAAAAAGAGAGGTCATATCTGCACATCCTAGGGTAGTTACAATGATTAAGTATAATTATTATATAAAGGCCTAGCAAGCACATAATAGATCCTCAATAAATATGAGTTCTCTTACTTTACTATTTTTTCAAAACCCTTTCAAGGCAAGGCTATGTAAAATGTAATTTGTGATTATCAGCAAATTAGTAGCAGTGAAGGGTGATTAAACAGTTAAAAATTGTTTATTAGATTTGACAGTCTTCAAGGAATGAGTGTTTATTAGAAAAAAATGTTTATAAGGTAACAACATGGTTTTCTATGCAACTACTTGATTTTCCACCAGATTCCACTTGTAAAACTGGAAAGGTTAGAAAAATATTCCTTAGCATCAGAAGGAAAAAACACTGGGCAGTGAATGTGTCCCCTGTAAGCTGAAATAACTATCTTATTTCATCCAACAACAAATTATGGTAATTCACAATTTATTTATTTAGCACCTATTATGTGGCAGTCACTGCAGCACTTAATGCTGGCAAAACAATGCCAAATAAATATCTATTATTACAGATGCTGAGGGCATAGGACTTTCAGTAAAGTGAGAGACACAAACAGGATTAAAATAATCACAGTGATGAGTACAGAATTAAAACCTCAGATAACTGAATCTCTGAAGGAGGACTCAGACCTGGGTTCAAGGGACATGGAAGATTTCTGAATGAAGAGACTTTTGCTGATCAGGCATCCAACAAAGTTATAAAGTTTCGTGACAGGAGTAGACAATGGAAACCCCAGATACACATCCCAAAATACTGGAAAGTTGAACTATAGCAAAATATGTAAGAGGTCTGTCTATCTTACAATATAAAAGCCAGCAAAATAGGGAGCAAAGGAAATTAAGATAAACTTGGCTACCTACTGTTTAATGTGTCCAACTTATAATTTTTACTGATATGATCTCCCTATAGTAAAATTATTTCAATAAATTCCTCAACTTATCACTACAGTTATGCCAGACTTGTTTCTTTTTAGTTGGTGGTCTGAACTTTGTAATGCAGAGTAAATAAACAAAAAGTACAAATATTTATAGTGCTAAATTTCTTGAAAGCAAATTTAAAATATCTTGATGAGCAGGATTCATTTGCTGTTTTATTATTGTGATTCTTTTTCTCAACAAACAGACAGCTGCTTGTTTCATTTCCTTAATGTCTTATTGCCTTCTATTCACATTAATGATATCTTGCTTCTTGTAGTTTCATTGAAACCCAAAGGATCATCAAGGTTCTTATCCCAGCCATCTTATTTTTATGGCATTTGAACCAGCCAGTTCATTTTATTTTTAACGGAAGGACTAACATATCTTTCATCTTACAGCAATCCTCTTTTTTGGAGAATAATTTTTCTGAATTTCTTCCTAGTGTGGGTCATCTGGTCTCCAGTCCTGAGTTTCTCTTGGAAAAGTTTTGTACAACCAATAACTGGTCTTCTGAGCAAAAGCAAGCTAATATTCTGAGAATGATTCTTCACACTTGAGAATTTTTCTTCTTAAATAGTGGCCTGTGTTTCTGTCTTTTCTCTTCAAGAATTCAACTTCAGTGCCTCAAACTGATTGAAACATCAAGTTGACTTTTAAAGTATAAAATTGTTTTAATATAGGACCTGAACATTATTTAAAGATTCAACATTTAACAGTCAAAACATACTATATTTCATAGAGACCTTCTTATATTTCACATTATTGAAATGAACCACTTTTCTCTAATTTACCAGAGTGATTATTTGA
Organism: Homo sapiens; assembly: GCF_000001405.40. Taxonomy (NCBI): domain Eukaryota; kingdom Metazoa; phylum Chordata; class Mammalia; order Primates; family Hominidae; genus Homo; species Homo sapiens. The sequence continues at coordinate 97,525,081 of NC_000004.12, forward strand.
AGATGTTATTTATAAAAGAATGAACATTTGGACCACTCTAGCATTTTGCTCTAATTGTATTGTGATATGCTTTCAAAAGCACAACCATAAATATTAAATTCATTTTTATCTAAATATTTTTAATTTAATATATTTAACTTTCACTTGAAAATATCCAGGTTTTACTGCTATTTTAAAAATTATGATTGCAAAGAACCATCACAAAAGAAAATTTATGGGGCAGCTATAACCTCAATAGTACCCAGAGTTTACACAGGACTAAGAGAAGATTACATGTAGACAAGCCAGAGCCTACATACTTCGTTGAACAACTAGGATATTTGGTACAATGCAGAAGGGTTGTGACTCAGCAGCAGGAACAATAACTGTAAACCAAAGGCTATTGTAATCTAAAAAGGGCTTCAAAACTCTTCAAAAAAACCCCAAAAGAAGCTGACTTACAAGCAAATTAGTTGCTTGCCAGAATAAACATCTACACTGTTCGAAGAAAAATAACAATATCAAGGTATTAAACAACGTAATATTCATACTGCTCAGGAGCCAAACAAAAACTATTGTACATGTGAATAAGCAGGAAATTCTGATCCATAACTCAGGAAAATCAGTTCATAGAAATGAAACCAGAATGTCTAAGCTGATAAATTTGGCCCACAAGGACATTAAAGGAACAATTCTAAGTATATTCAAAAAAAGAAAGAAAAAAGTAAATAGATCTCGTTGTGGTTTTGATTTGCATTTCTCTAATGATCAGTGATGATGAGCTTTTTTTCATGTTTGTTGGCTGCATAAATGTCTTCTTTTTTTGGAACATGGCAATTTATTTTATGCATTATTTAAATTCACTGTTTAAAAATGTTCAAAAGGCAATTTAAGAAACACTTACAAATACATTTTTTCTAACTTAAAATAAGCAAGTCACCAGACATTCTTAAACCATTCATAACACCATTACCTTAAATAATTTTTAAATTCCAAAACACAAATATTCACTATGTAGTTCAACACACTGCTTAGCAGTAAGATTAGTTTCCCTCTAATAATATACTTCATGTAGATTATTAATTTGCAGGGTCCTTCAAAGTTATTAAAAGTTAACTAATATAAACTGAAAACTAGAGAGGTAAGGGAGTTGAAACAGAGCACAATTCAACTCTAACACTTTAGAGTTAGTTTCTCTAAAGAGAATTTGTAAAATTCCTTATTCTAGCCTGTGTTAAAGTTTGTATTTCAACTATGATATATAAACACATTTTTTTTTAATCAACAGAGGTAACATTAACATTTAGCATAAAATCTACCACAGGTTGTCTCCCAGATTGCTTCAGTATGTTTCTGTCAGGACTACTATAAAGTAGAAAAATAAAGCAAATGAGTTTTGTTTCTTTTTGTTTGTTTGTTTTTGAGAAGTGTCCGTTTATATCCTATGTCCACTTTTTGATGGCGCTGTTTTTTTCTTGTAAATTTGTTTAAGTTCCTCGAGATTCTGGATATCAGCCCTTTGTCAGATGGGTAGAGTGCAAAAATTTTCTCCCATTCTACTAGGTTGCCTGTTCACTCTGATACTAGTTTCTTTTGCTGTGCAGAAGCTCTTTAGTTTAATTAGATCCCATTTGTCAATTCTGGCTTTTGTTGCCATTGCTTTTGGTGTTTTAGTCATGAAGTCTTTGCCCATGCCTATGTCCTGAATGGTATTGCCTAGGTTTTCTTCCAGGGTTTTTATGGTTTTAGGTCTTACATTTAAGCCTTTAATCCATCTTGAGTTAATTTTTATATAAGGTGTAAGGAAGGAATGGAGTTTCAGTTTTCTGCATATGCCTAGCCAGGTTTCCCAGCACCATTTATTAACTAGGGAATCCATTCCCCATTGCTTGTCAGAGTGCTGATTATTAAAAAGTTCAGAAATAATAGATGCTGCCAAAGCTTTTTTTTTTTTTAATACTTTAAGTTCTGGGATACATGTGCAGAACGTGCAGCTTTGTTATATAGGTATACACATGCCATGGCGGTTTGCTGCACCCATCAACCCGTCATCAACATTAGGTATTTCTCCTAGTGCTATCCCTCCCCTAGCCCCCCACCAACTGACAGACCCTGGTGTGTGATGTTCCCTTCCCTGTGTCCATGTGTTCTCATTGTTCAACTCCCACTTATGAGTGAGAACATGTGGGGTTTGGTTTTCTGTTCCTGGGTTAGTTTGCTGAGGATGATAGCTTCCAGCTTCATCCATGTCCCTGCAAAGGACATGAACTCATCCTTTTCTTATACCTGCATAGTATTCCATGGTGTATATGTGCCACATTTTCTTTATCCAGTCTATCATTGATGGGCATTTGGGTTCATTCCAAGTCTTCACTATTGCAAACAGTGCTGAAATAAACATACACGTGCATGTATCTTCATAGTAGAATGATATATCCTTTGATTATATACCCAGTAATGGGATTGCTGGGTCAAATGGTATTTCTGGTTCTAGATTCTTGAGGAATCTGCCACACTGTCTTCCACAATGGTTGAACTAATTTACATTCCCATCAACAGGGTAAAATTGTTCCTATTTATTCACATCCTCTCCAGCATCTGTTGTTTCCTGACTTTTTAATGATTACCATTCTGACTGGTATGAGATGGTATTTCATTGTTGTTTTGATATGCATTTCTCTAATGACCAGTGATGATGAGCTTTTCTTCATATGTTTGTTGGCTGCATAAATGTCTTCTTTTGAGAAGTGTCTGTTCATATCCTTCGCCCACTTTTTGATGGGGTTGTTTGTTTTTTTCTTGTAAATTTATTTATATTTCTTGTAGATTCTGGATATTAGCTCTTTGTCAGATGGATAGATTTCAAAATTTTTCTCCCATTCTTTAGGTTGTCTATTCACTCTGATGCTAGTTTCTTTTGTTGTGCAGAAGCTCTTTAGTTTAATTAGTCCCATTTGTCAATTTTGGCTTTTGTTGCCATTGCTTTTGGCATTTTAGTCATGAAGTCTTTGCACATGTCTACATCCTGAATCATATTCCCTACATTTTCTTCTAGGGATTTTATGCTTTTTGGTCTTATGTTTCAATCTTTAATCCCATCTTGAGTTAATTTTTGTATAAGGTGTAAGAAACGGATCCAGTTTCAGTTTTTTGCATATGGCTAGCCTGTTTTCCCAACACCATTTATTAAATAGGGAATCTTTTCCCCATTGCTTGTTTTTGTCAGGTTTGTCAAAGATCAGTTGGTTGTAGATGTGTGGCACTATTTCTGAGGCCTCTGTTCTATTCCATTGGTCTATATATCTGTTTTGGTACCAGTATCATGCTGTTTTGGTTATTGTAGCTTTGGAGTATAGTTTGAAGTCCAGTAGCATGATGCCTCCAATTTTGTTCTTTTTGCTTAGGATTGTCTTGGCTATAAGGGCTCTTTTTGGTTAAATATGAAATTTAAAGTATTTTTTTCCAACTCTGTTAAGAAAGCCAATGGTACCTTGATGGGGATAGCATTAAATCTATAAATTACCTTGGGCAGTATGGCCATTTTCATGATATTGATTCTTCCTATCCACGAGCATGGAATGTTTTGCCATTTGTTTGTGTCCTCTCTTATTTCCTTGAGCAGTGGTTTGTAGTTCTCCTTAAAGAGGTCCTTCACATCCCTTGTAAGTTGTATTCCTAGGTATTTTATTCTCTTTGTAGCAATTGTGAATAGCAGTTCACTCATGATTTGGCTCTCTGTTTATCTATTATTGGTGTATAGGAATGCTTGTGATTTTTGCACATTGATTGCTGAAGCTGCTTACCAGCTTAAGGAGATTTGGGGCTGAGATGATGGAGTTTTCTAAATATACAATCATGTCATCTGCAAAGAGAGACAATCTGACTTCCTCTCTTCCTATTTGAATACCCTTTATTTCTTTCTCTTGCCTGACTGCCCTGGCCAGAACTTCCAACACTATGTTGAATAAGAGTGGTGAGAGACGGCATCCTTGTCTTGTGCCAGTTTTCAAAGGGAATGCTTCTAGCTTTTGCCCATTCAGTATGATATTGGCTATGGGTTTGTCATAAATAGCTCTTATTATTTTGAGATACATTCCATCAATACCTAGTTTATTGAGAAATTTTAGCATGAAGTCTGTTGAATTTTATCGAATGCCTTTTCTGCATCTATGGAGATAATCATGTGATTTTTGTCATTGGTTCTGTTCATGTGTTGGATTACATTTATTAATTTGCGTATGTTGAACCAGCCTTGCATCCCAGGGATGAAGCTGATTTAATCATGGTGGATAAGCTTTTTGATGTTCTGCTGGATTCGTTTTGCCAGTATTTTATTGAGGATTTTTGCATTGACATTCATCAGGAATATTGGCCTGAAATTTTCTTTTTTTGTTGTGTCTCTGCCAGATTTTGGTATCAGGATGATGCTGGCATCATAAAGTGAGTTAGGGAGGAGTCCCTCTTTTTCTATTGTTTGGAATCGTTTCAGCAGGAATGGTAGCATCTCCTCTTTGCATGTCTGGTAGAATTCGGCTATGAATCCATCTGCTACTGGGCTTTTCTGGTTGGTAGGCTATTAATTACTGCCTCAATTTCCAAACTTGTTATTGTTCTATCCAGGGATTCAACTTCTTCCTGGTTTAGTCTTGGGAGCATGTATGTATCCAAGAATTTATCCATTTCTTCTAGATTTTCTAGTTTATTTGAGTAGAGGTGTCTTTGTTCTGGCAATAGCTGGTCTCTCATAGGTTCGTCCCAGGATCTTTCCAGGCTGTTTCCTTAAAGTGTTAGTGTCTCAACTATCAATTCCTCAAAGAGACTTTTCATTTAACTCAATCTGAAGTAGCTGCTATTATGTCATTCTGTAATATTTATTTATACTAATTTTTTATTTGTTTACTTCTATTATTTATTTTTCTTTTTTCTTCCCCCTTCACTAGTACTTAAGATTTGTGAGAGCAAGTTTATTAGTTAACTCCTGTGAAATAAATCTCCAAATTAAACAAATAGTATAACGTATTGTACAAAATAAAAATTTAATCCTTGATTTTACAATATTCCAATGTGATATTTCTGGTCAGTAGGAGGGTCTTCCATGTGATGATTTAGGGACCTAGACTGCTTGCAACTTGTGGCTCTGCCATTCCCTAGGAACTTGGAATCCTCTGTTGAATTCTCCTAGTGATAATACAGATAGTTTCAGAAATAAGTGATTATTTTGTGACATTGTTATTGTTTGTCACATTCTTTTACTTTTCTATCTGTGATAGTCTGAGAAAGCAAAGGTTATGCTGTACTGTGTAAATAACTGTGCGAAGGAATGAATATGTTTTATATCACTGAGTCTATACACTGACATGAAAGCCAATGCTTAGGTAAATGTCTTAAAAATTCTAAACATTTTAAATCTTTTAGGGAAATTTTGTTTGAAAACCAAAATGTGTGTGTGTGTGTGTGTGTGTGTTTGTATTTCAAATGGATGGATTAAAAAAGTGAATATCATTCACTGATCAATATTTTTTAAAAATCAAAGGCATGACAAAGTAAGATGGTGGAGTAGAAGCTCACACCAAATTTTCACAACTATCTGCACTGAAAAGAAAAGCACTGTTACAAGAACCAAAATCAGGTGAGCAATCACAATACCTGGTTTTAACTTCATGTTTTTGAAACAGGTATTGAGAAGGGTCAGAGAGACAGTGCTGAATTGTCAATGGCACCCCTCCCCCATTTCCCAGCAGCGGTGAGCTGTGCAGAGTTTGTGCACTTTGGGGAGGGAGAGCAGGGGGACTGGAGATTTCACAGTGAACTCACAGCAAAGCTATGCTGGACTTAGCCAGTGCTCATACATGGAGGATGCATCTGGGCTAGAAGTAGCCAGAGGGGAATCACCCATTCCATTGACTGGATTAATAACCAGAATATATAAGGAGCTCAAACAAATCTAGGAAAATTTTATAATCTGATTTAAAAATGGACAAAAGATCTGAATAGGCATTTCTCAAAAGAAGACAAGCAAATGGCAAGCAGGTATATGAAAAGATGTTCAACAGCATTGAAATTATCAGAAAAATGCAAATTAAAACTAAAATGATATATCATCTCATCCCAGTTAAAATGGCTTTTATCCAAAAGATAGGCAATAATAAATGTTGGTGAGGATGTGGAGAAAAGGGAACACTTGGACATTGTTAGTGGGAATGTAAATTAGCACAACCACTATGGAGAACAGTTTGGAGTTTCCTTAAAAAACTAAAAATAGAGCTACTATACAATCCAATAATCTCACTGCTGTGTATATCCCTAAAAGAAAGGAAATTAGTACACTGAAGAGATATATCTGCTTTCCTATACTTGTTGCAGCACTGTTCACAATAGCCAAGATTTGGATGCAACCTAAGTGTCCATCAGCAGATGAAATAATAAAGCAAATGTGGTACTTAGACACAATGGAGAACAATTCAGTCATAAAAATGAATGAGATCCTGTCATTTGCAACAACATTGATGGAAATGGAGGTCATTATGTTATGTGAGATAAGCCAGGCAAAGAAAAACAAACATCACATGTTCTCACTTATTTGTGGGAGCTAAAAATTAAATCAATTGAACACATGGAGAAAGAGAGTAGAGGTATAGTTACCAGAGGCTGGGAAGGGTAATGGGGGGATTGGAGGATATGTGGGAATGGTCAATGGGTACAAAAATAGAAAGGAGTAATATGTGCTATTTGATAGCACAACAGTGTGACTGTAGTCAGAATAATTTCATTGTACATTAAAGCTATACATTGTATTACTAAAAGAATATAATTGGATTATTTGTAACAGAAGGATAGATGCTTGAGGTGATGGATACCCCATTTTCCATGATGTGGTTATTACACATAAAATGCCTGTATCAAAATATCTAATGTACTCCATAAATATAAACACCTACTATGTACCCACAAAAAAATACAAATTAAAAGTTAAAAAAGAAGAAAAAGCCCAACAATAATTTTAACAATTTGAATTCATTAGGAAATATTTATCTAGGTGTTTTCTAATAATTTTGTATGTAATGTTTGACATAAGAAAATTCTAGCCCTGTGGTTAAATAGACTTTTATGTTATTTTAATCCAGTAGTAATAATGCAATTACCTTATCATATAGAAATATATTTAGTGATTTTTTCATAGTTCAATATATGTTTTATATACTTCAGATTTCTTAAATTTTACTATATCTATATTTGCAGTTAAAATGTTCACACAACCTATAAAAGAATTTGAAATATGTTATTTCATTTGATTTATTCTGCTACCAACTAAATCAGCATTGTATTCCTTTTAATTTTAAATAAATTCTTTTCTTGGATTTTTTGACTGTATATTTTCAAAAAAAATCAGAAAAGTTTTCTTCTACTTGACGATATAAAGTGGCATACACAAGAAAATGAAATGAATTGCAATGTCATCAGACACATAACCCAAATAAGAATTTGCTTTCCTCAAATTAAGAAAACCAAGTGGAAAGATAGCTTCTTGAAAGACATCCTGAGTTATAATATAAATTAACTGTATTCATGGCGGTTCAGGAGGAAAATGGAAAATGCCTTAATGGGGTGACAGAAATGATTTGTTTCACTAAAATGTGCTTATACTGGTTAGATATGATTGATATAGATAGGCATAGATGTGCTTATCCTACTAAAACAATGGATAAGAAAGCAGATTCAATTTTTAAAGAGAAGATACACATTTAAACACTCATAACGTTAAAAATGAATGCTTGACACAGTTCAACAATGGTTGAGAAATGCCCATTTTACTTAGCATATTTTCTTTTCTTTTTTCTTTTGAGATGGAGTTTCGCTCTGTCACCCAGGCTGGAGCGCAGTGGTGCAATCCCAGCTCACTGCAAGCTCTGCCTCCCGGGTTCATGCCATTCTCCTGCCTCAGCCTCCCAAGCAGCTGGAACTACAGGCGCCCGCCACCACACCCGGCTAATTTTTTTATTTTTGGTAGAGATGGGGTTTCACTGTGTTAGCCAGGATGGTTTCGATCTTCTGACCTCATGATCCCCCCGCCTCGGCCTCCCAAAGTGCTGGGATTACAGGCATAAGCCACTGCCCCCGGCCTACTTAGCATATTTTCTTATAGAATTTAGAAATATAATTACATAAAGAGTCAAAAAAGCACATGTTAGGGACTCAAAATACTATTCAGAGAAAAAATAAAAATAATAATTAGTGAAAGAATAAACTCTCATTTTTGACTTAGTATTTCTATTATCCTGAAATATCAAACTCCTTATGGAATGAATTTTTTTAAAATTTATCAAATTACATTTTTTCTGTGTGTTGTCGTTATTGTTTCTTAATTCATTTTATTAAAGTGTAGTTTATATATAATAAAATACATTTAAAATATAGTTTGATGTTTTGACAAATATAAACATCCATATCACCATCATTTGAATCATATATAACATTTCCTTCATGCCAAAATATTCTCTCATACTCCTTTGCAGTCTGTTCGTCTTGCCTGCCTCCAGGTATAGGAAATTTCTGATATCATGATTATTAGCATTATAGATTAGTGTCATGAAATCACAAAATATGTACTATTATGTCAAATTTTTGAGATTTTTCCATATTATAGCATGTATCAATAAGTTCTTTTTATTGCTGAGTAACCCTCCATTGTGTGAACTTACTATAATTTTATTAAGATACCTATTTTTGTTGACATACATTTGGGTTACTTTGAATTTGGTGGTATCTTAACAAAACAGTGTGAAAATCTGTATACAAGTCTTTTTGTAAATAAGATGAATGAATAAATATTTTGAATACATACTTTCCTGTCTTTTGATAAATGACTTGAAATGCAATTGTTAGGTTATATAATAAGTATTTTTTATTAAGTAGAAACTGCAAAAATCATTTTCCAAAGAGGTTGAACTATTTTACATTCCTACAAGCAACATATGAGAGTTCCAATTCTTCCGCATTGTAACCAACACTTCATTTGTTACTTTTTAAAATTTTAGGCATATAAGTGGGTGTATAATGGTATATTATTGTGGTTTTTATTTGCATGTTTCTGCAATTAAATATATTGAGCATCATTTCATATTTCATATTGTTTATGTTCATACTTTTTATATTGTTTATTGGTCATACATGGTCATGAGGTATCTGTTCAAATATTATGTGTAATTTTTATTACATTCTGTGTTATTGAATTACAGGAATTCTCTATGTATTTCCATTATATGCGGTTTTTCAAGTCTGGAGAAATCTTACCCTATGCAGACTTACACATCTTCTCCTATGTCTTCTAGAAGTTATATACTGTTACCTTTTACATTTAAGTTTATAATCCACTTCAAGTTAAATTAAGTATATAGTGTGAATCAAGGATCTGGGTTCATATCCTTCCATATGGATATATATTCAGTATCTCCAGCAACATTTTTTGAAAAGACTTTTTTTTTCCCATGGAATTTCCTTTGTACTATTTGCACAAATCAACTATAGGACTATTACTGTATTCTGTTCTCTTTTTAAAATTTTCATTTTATTGAAGTATAAGTTACATACATTAAACTTTACCCTTTATACATAATTCTATGAATTTTGACAAATGTATGCAGTCATGTAACCACTACCAGAATGAAGATATTGAGTGGTTTTATTGGCCAAAAAAATCTTGTGTCCTTTTACAAACAACCCTTCTGTACACATGCAGCCCTGACAACCACTACTCTGCTTCCTGTGCTCATAATTTTGCCTTTGCCAGATGTTTTATAAGTAGAATCATAAGGTATGTAGCCCTTTTAAGTTGGCTTATTTCATTTACCATAGTTCATTGGAAATCCATCCATGATGTTGCATGTTTCAAACATTGATCCATTTTTGTTATTGAATACTTTTCTATTTGATGAATGTAATGCAATTTGTATATCCATTCACTGGTTGAAGAAAATCTGAGTTGTTTACAAGTTTGAGAAATTATGAACAACATTTATGTAAGGCTCATAAACATTTATGTAAAGGTTTTCTTATGAACATAGCTTTTCATTTCATTTGGGCAAATACTTAGGATGGATTGCTAGTTTGTATGGTAAGTAGATATTTAATTTTATAAAATACTGCCGACTGTTTTTGTTAAGTGGCTGTATTATGGTAAATTCCCACTAAAAATTTATGAATATTCCAGTTGCTCTGCAGCTCTCACCAGTACCACCACCAAGTTTGTTGTTTGTGTATTAAAGCAAGTCCATGAATATGTAGTGCTGTCTTTCTTCCTTTGTGTAAATCTAAATTTCCATCCACAATCATTATAAAGAACTTCAGTTTAAAGAACTTCATTTAGCCTATCTTTGAGTCTGCTGGCAGTGAATTCTCTGAACTTTTATTTGTCTTCAATGTCTTTTATTTCATTTCCATTTTTGAAGGGTATTATCCCCCTATATAGAATATTGGAGTGACTTTTCCTTTTAGCATGGTAAAAACACAGTTCCATTTTCTCTATTTTGTATTGTCTCTGTTCAGAAGTTGATAGTTACCTCTTTCTTGTTCTGATGTATAAAGTGTGACCCTTTTTCTCTGACTGATTTCAGATATTCTCTTTTACATTGATTAAAATAATTATCATGCACTTGGTGGTGTTTTATGCCTATGCTGCTTCAGATTTGTTGACCTTCTTGGGTCTATGCACTTATATTTCATGAAAATTAGAAATTTTCAGTTTATTTATTTTAATATTTTTATACTCCCCCACTGCTTTTCCATCTGAGGCTATAGTTCCATATGAGTTAGACTGCTGGATATTGCTCTGCAAGTCACTGGAACTCTGTGATTTTTCACCATCTGTGTTTTTCTCTCTAGGTTTAAGTTGAATAGTTTATTTTGAATTTTGAATTTTTTAGCTTTAGAGACAGGGCCTGGCTATGTTTCTCAGGCCAGAGTGCAGTGGTTTTCTTCAGTGTAATCATACCACCCTGCAGCTTTGAACTCCTAACTTCAAATGATCTTCCTGCCTCAGACTGCCCAGCAACTGAGATTATAGGTGCATGCCACCATGCCTGCAAAATTAAATAATTTTTATTGCTTCATCTTCAAGGTCACTGATCTTTCCTTCTGCAGTGTCATTGCACTTAACATGATTTCTTGAGTTCATTGATCTATGGGTGAAATGGTTTGGCTCTGGGTCCCTACCCAGACTTCATCAGAATTTGTAATACCATGTCAAGGGAGGGAGCTGGTGGGAAGTGACTGGACCATTGGGGCAGTTTTCCCTATGCTGTTCTCATTATAGTGAGGGAGTTCCCAAAAGATCTGATGGATTAAAAGTGACAAATTCCCCTTGAGCTCTGTCTCTCTCCTGATGCCTTGTGAAGAAGGTACTTGCTTCTCCTTCATCTTCTACCATGATTGTAAGTTTCCTAAGGCCTCCCCAGCCATGCAGAACTGAGTCAATTAAACCTATTTCCTTTATGAATTAAAGAAAAAAGACATTCAAACATCACTGGCTAGTGCATACCAAGCAAGGAAGAGAATGGTCCCAAACTAGGTGGGTGTCAGATGACGTAAAGGCTTCAGAGACATGTTAGAAAGGTTGCATTTTATTCTAATCTGTAGCTTCCTCTTAGGAAGAACATGGGCTGGAAGAGGCCTGTGGATGAATCAAAGGACCTGGCTTGGCCCTTCACAGCCAGTCTCTCTGCTAATAATCTAAAGGGTGCTCCATCATGGAACTCATACATCTTAAATATCTCACAATGGAGAATGAATTATCTGCCCACCTGTAACACTGCTATAAACAATGAAGGGTGTCCTTATTCAACTTCTCTTCTGAGGACATTAGCTCAAGTGTTTCATACATAATCATCGGTTTCTAGCCTCTGTTTTCCTAGAAGTCACATTAAGAGCTTGTGTAAATATATTTACTAGAAGTTCACTATGGAAAACTGTTTCCAGGTTTAGAATTCTCTATTAATAAAGACCATTAGGGCAGTTCCAAGATGGCCAAATAGGAATAGCTCCAGTCTACAGCTCCCAGTGTGAGCGATGCAGAAGACGGGTGATTTCTGTATTTCCAACTGAGGTACCGTGTTCATCTCACTGGGACCTGTCGGACAGTGGGTGCAGGACAGTGGGTGCAGTGAACCGAGTGTGAGCCAAAACAGGACGAGGCATCACCTCACCCGGGAAGCACAAGGGGTCAGGGAACTCCCTTTCATAGCCAAGCAAAGCTGTGACAGATGGCACCTGGAAAATCAGATCACTCCCACCCTAATATTGCACATTTCCAACAGTCTTAGCAAATGGCACACCATGGGATTATATCCTGTGCAAGGCTTGGAGGGTCCCACACCCTCAGAGCCTCCCTTGTTGCTAGCACAGCAGTCTGAGATCGAACTGCAAGGCAGCAGCAAGGCTGGGGGAGGAGTGTCCACCATTTCTGAGGCTTCAGTAGGTAAACAAAGCAGCTGGGAAGTTCAAACTGGGTGGAGCCCACCTCAGCTCAAGGAGGCCTGCCTGCTTCTGTAGACTCCACCTCTGGGGGCAGGGCATAGCTGAACAAAAGGCAGCAGAAACCTCAGCAAACTTAACTGTCCCTGTCTGACAGCTTTGAAGAGAGTAGTGGTTCTCCCAGCATGCAGCTTGAGATCTGAGAATGGACAGACTGCCTCCTCAAGTGGGTCCCTGACCCCTGAGTAGATTATCTGGGAGGCACCCCCTAGTAGGGGCAGACTGACACCTCACATGGCCAGGTACCCTTCTGAGATGAAACCTCCAGAGGAACGATCAGACAGCAACATTTGCTGTTCAACAATATTCGCTGTTCTGCAGCCTCCGCTGCTGATACCCAGGCAAACAGGGTCTGGAGTGGACCTCCAGCAAACTCCAACAGACCTGCAGCTGAGGATCCTGACTATTAAAAGGAAAACTAGCAAACACAAAGGACATCCACACCAAAACCCCATCTGTACGTCACCATCATCAAAGACCAAAGGTAGAAAAAACCACAAAGATGGGGAAAAAACAAAATACAAAAACTGAAAATTCTAAAAATCAGATTGCCTCTCCTCCTCCAAAGGAATGCAGCTCCTCACCAGCAATGGAACAAAGCTGGACGGAGAATGACTTTGACGAGTTGAGAGAAGAAGGCTTCAGACAATCAAACTTCTCCGAGCTAAAGGAGGAAGTTCAAACCCATCGCAAAGTTAAAAACCTTGAAAAAAGATTAGATGAATGGCTAATGAGAACAACCGATGCAGAGAACTCCTTAAATAACCTAATGGAGCTGAAAACCCATGGCACAACAACTACGTGACAAATGCACAAGCTTCAGTAGCCAATTCGAACAACTGGAAGAAAGGATATCAGGGATCGAAGATCAAATGAATGAAATGAAGCAAGAAGAGAAGTTCAGAGAAAAAAGAATACGAAGAAATGAACAAAGCCTCCAAGAAATATGGGACTATGTGAAAAGACCAAATCTACGTCTCATTGGTGTACCTGAAAGTGATGGGGAGAATGGAGCCAAGTTGGAAAACACTCTACAGCATATTATCCAGGAGAACTTCCCCAACCTAGCAAGGCAGGCCAAAATTCAAATTCAGGAAATACAGAGAATGCCACAAAGATACTCCTCAAGAAGAGCAACTCCAAGACACATAATTGTCAGATTCACCAAAGTTCAAATGAAGGAAAAAATGTTAAGGGCAGCCAGAGAGAAAGGTTAGGTTACCCACAAAGGGAAGCACATCAGACTAACAGCTGATCTCTCAGCAGAAACTTTACAAGCCAGAAGAGAGTGGGGGCCAATATTCAACATTCTTAAAGAAAAGAATTTTCAACCCAGAATTTCATATCCAGCCAAACTAAGCTTCATAAGTGGAGGAGAAATAAAATCCTTTACAGATAAGCAAATGCTGAGAGATTTTGTCACCACCAGGCCTGTCCTACAAGAGCTCCTGAAGGAAGCACTAAACATGGAAAGGAAAAACTGGTACCAGCCACTGCAAAAACATACCAAATTGTAAAGACCATCAATGCTAGGAAGAAACTGCATCAACTAACGAGCAAAATAACCAGCTAACATCATAATGACAGGATCAAATTCACACATAACAATATTAACCTTAAATGTAAATGGACTAAATGCTCCAATTAAAAGACACAGACTGGTAAATTGGATAAAGAGTCAAGACCCATCAGTGTGCTGTATTCAGGAAACCCATCTCACATGCAGAGACACAGACAGGCTCAAAAGAAAGGGATGGAGGAAGATCTACCAAGCAAATGGAAAACAAAAAAAGGCAGGGGTTGGAATCCTAGTCTCTGATAAAATAGACTTTAAACCAATAAAGATCAAAAGAGACAAAGAAGGCCATTACATAATGGTAAAGGGATCAATTCAACAAGAAGATCTAACTATCGTAAATATTTATGCACCCAATACAGGAGCACCCAGATTCATAAAGCAAGTCCTTAGAAACCTACAAAGAGACTTAGACTCGCACACAATAATAATGGGAGACGTTAACACCCCACTGTCAACATTAGACAGATCAATGAGACAGAAAGTTAACAAGGATATCCAGGAATTGAACTCAGCTCTGCACCTAATAGACCTAAGTGGACCTAACAGACATCTACAGAACTCTCCACCACAAATCAACAGAATATACATTCTTCTCAGCACCACACCGCACCTATTCTCAGACCAAAGTGCAATCAAACTAGAACTCAGGATTAAGAAACTCACTCAAAACCACTCAACTACATGGAATCTGAACAACCTGCTCCTGGATGACTACTGGGTACATAACGAAATGAAGGCAGAAATAAAGATTTCTTTGAAACCAATGAGAATAAAGACACAACATACCAGAATCTCTGAGACACATTTAAAGCAGTGTGTAGAGGGAAATTTATGGCACTAAATGCCCACAAGAGAAAGTGGCAAAGAACTAAAATTGACACCCTAACATCACAATTAAAAGAACTAGAGAAGCAAGAGCAAACACATTCAAAAGCTAGCAGAAGGCAAGAAATAACTAAGATCAGAGCAGAACTGAAGGAGACAGAGACAAAAAACCCTTCAAAAAATCAATGAATCCAGGAGGTGGTTTTTTGAAAAGATCCACAAAATTGATAGATTGCTAGCAAGACTAATAAAGAAGAAAAGAGAGAAGAATCAAATAGATGCAATAAATAATGATAAAGGGGATATCACCACCGATCCCACAGACATACAAACTACCATCAGAGAATACTATAAACACCTCTATGCAAATAAACTAGAAAATGTAGAAGAAATGGATAAATTCCTCGACACATACACCCTCCCAAGACTAAACCAGGAAGAAGTTGAATCTCTGAATAGACCAATAACAGGCTCTGAAATTGAGGTAATAATTAATAGCTTACCAACCAAAAAAAGTCCAGGAGCAGACGGATTCACAGCCGAATTCTACCAGAGTTACAAGGAGGAGCTGGTACCATTCCTTCTGAAACTATTCCAATCAATAGAAAAAGAGGGAATCCTCCCTCTTTTATGAGGCCAGCATCATCCTGATACCAAAGCCTGGCAGAGACACAACAAAAACAGAGAATTTTAGACCAATATCCTTGATGAACATTGATGCAAAAATCCTCACTAAATTCTGGCAAACTGAATCCAGCAGCACATCAAAAAGCTTATCCACCATGACAAAGTGGGCTTCATTCCTGGGATGGAAGGCTGGTTCAACATACGCAAATCAACAAACATAATCCAGCATATAAAAAGAACCAAAGAGAAAAACCACATGATTATCTCAATAGATGCAGAAAAGGCCTTTGACAGTTTTCAACAGCCATTCATGCTAAAAACTCTCAATAAATTAGGTATGGATGGGGCTTATTTCAAAATAATAAGAGGTATTTATGACAAACCCACAGCCAATATCATACTGAATGGGCAAAAACTGGAAGCATTCCCTTTGAAAAATGGCACAAGACAGGGATGACTTCTCTCAACACTCCTATTCAAAATAGTGTTGGAAGTTCCGGCCAGGGCAATCAGGCAGGAGAAGGAAATAAAGGGTATTCAATTAGGAAAAGAGGAAGTCAAATTGTCCCTGTTTGCAGATGACATGATTGTATATCTAGAAAACCCCATCATCTCAGCCCAAAATCTCCTTAAGCTGATAAGCAACTTCAGCAAAGTCTCAGGATACAAAATCAATGTGCAAAAATCACAAGCATTCTTATACACCAATAATAGACAAACAGAGAGCCAAATCATGAGTGAACTCCCATTCACAATTGCTTCAAAGAGAATAAAATACCTAGGAATCCAAGTTACAAGGGATGTGTAGGATCTGTTTAAGGAGAACTACAAACCACTGCTCAACAAAATGAAAGAGGACACAAGCAAATGGAAGAATATTCCATGCTCATGGATAGGAAGAATCAGTATCGTGAAAATGGCCATACTGCCCAAGGTAATTTATAGATTCAATGCCATCCTCATCAAGCTACGAATGATTTTCTTCACAGAATTGGAAAAACCTACTTTAGAGTTTATATGGAACCAAAAAAGAGCCTGCATTGCCAAGTCAACCCTAAGCCAAAAGAACAAAGCTGGAGGCATCACACTATCTGACTTCAAACTATACTACAAGGCTACAGTAACCAAAACAGCATGGTACTGGTACCAAAACAGAGATATAGACCAATGGAACAGAACAAAGCCCTCAGAAATAATACCACACATCTACAACCTTCTGATCTTTGACAAATCTGACAAAAACAAGAAACGGGGAAAGGATTCCCTATTTAACAAATGGTGATGGGAAAACTGGCTAGCCATATGTAGAAAGCTGAAACTGGATCCCTTCCTTACACCTTATACAAAAATTAATTCAAGATGGATTAAAGACTTAAACGTTAGACCTAAAACCATAAAAACCCTAGAAGAAAATCTAGGCAATACCATTCAGGACATAGGCATAGGCAAGGACTTCATGTCTAAAACACCAAAAGCAAGGGCAACAAAAGCCAAAATTGACAAATGGGATCTAATTAAACTAAAGAGCTTCTGCACTCAAAAAAACTACCATGAGAGTGAACAGGCAACTTACAGAATGGGAGAAAATTTTTGCAATCTACTCATCTGACAAAGGGCTAATATCCAGAATCTACAAAGAACTCAAACAAATTCATAAGAAAGCAACAAACAACCCCATCAAAAAGTGGCAAAGGATATGTACAGAGACTTCTCAAAAGAAGACATTTATGCAGCCAACAGACACATGAAAAAATGCTCATCATCACTGGCCATCAGAGAAATGGATATCAAAACCACAATGAGATAATCATCTCACACCAGTTAGAACTGCGATCATTAAAAAGTCAGGAAACAACAGGTGCTGGAGAGGATGTGGAGAAATAGGAACACTTTTACACTGTTGGTGGGACTGTAAACTAGTTCAACCATTATGGAAGACAGTGTGGCGATTCCTCAGGGATCTAGAACTAGAAATACCATTTGACTCAGCCATCCCATTACTGGGTATATATCCAAAGCAATATAAATCATGTTGCTATAAAGACACATGCACACGTATGTTTATTGTGGCACTACTCACAATAGCAAATACTTGGAACGAACCGAAATGTCCAACAATGATAGACTGGATTAAGAAAATGTGGCAAATATACACCGTAGAATACTATGCAGCCATAAAAAATGATGAGTTCATGTCCTTTGTAGGGACATAGATGAAGCTGGAAACCATCATTCTCAGCAAACTAAAGGAAGCAAGAACAAAAAACCTAACACCGCATGTTCTCACTCATAGGCGGGAATTGAACAATGAGAACACTTGGACACAGGAAGGGGAACATCACACACCAGGGCCTGTTGTGGGGTGGGGAGAAGGGGGAGGGATAGCATTAGGAGATATACCTAATGTAAATGACGAGTTAATGGGTGCAGCACACCAACATGGCACATGTATATATATGTAACAAACCTGCACATTGTGCACATGTACCCTAGAACTTAAGGTGTAATAAAAAATATATATATAAATAATAATAAAAAAATAAAGACCAGTAAATCCTACATCAATGGTCTGGGGCTTTATTATACCCACTTGAGACATAGTTGCCTGGAAAAGAAATTTCGTTTATAAAGAAAAAGCTCCCTATGGCAGAAACATGGGGAAAAAATAAATTTTTCTGACTTATTATTAAAGAGAATAACTGATTACTTGTAGTTTAGAAATACGCTTATGAAAAGAGAAAGCCACATAAGTCTATGGAGTCAATTTTCCTACCTAAGTAGCTTCTGCTTTAGCTCTGAGAATATAGTTTTAATGTAATAATAACATGCCAATTTTTTCCTTACGGGAAAAAAAATAAAATGCTAAGCTTAAAGAAACTTAAAAATTATATAATCCTAAATATTAATAAATGAAGAAACACGCCAAACAATTAAACAAGCTTCTATTTTGCCAGATATTTGGATATTTTTTATTTAGGTCACTATACTGGATAGCAAAATTCTGATAAGAAAATATATCCTGCCTAGATTTATGTGATAATCAAAATTATGTATGATTTACTAAAACCATCATTCTTTTCATGCTTTCAGATACATTAAGATTTACATAATTTTATTCTACAGCACAATAAATTGATTATATGACCCTTAATTTTGATCCAGTCTTTTTGAGAGCATAAATAAAGGCTTTTAAGGTCATCAAATCTTGGTAAGAATCACCTGGGGAACTTATTAAACTCATAGATGGTTAGCTTCAGTAGATCCTGGTAGAGCTCAAATATTTGCATGATTAGCAGACTCTTGACACATGTAATCTACTTACCACACATTAGTATACTTCAATGAGAAACACCTCCAAAAGGTACGAATATTGAAAAACCTTAATCATAATAGAATGTGGTTCAACAAAAAGAAAACTGTACAGAGAGGTCATGGGAAGTTTAATTTAAAATTAAACATATTTGTAAAATAGCTTCCTAACAAATTTAACTAAGCAAAAACACTTCATTAGGAAGTAAATTAAGAAATAAAACTGTATGCATACAAAATTATAAAGATACAATTCCAGTTAATTACATTACAAGTATCTCAGAATGCATGATCTCAAAGTTAATGCAATCCATGGAGATATCCGTAAAAGTATACAGACCAGATTCAGATAGCGGTGCCACTGAGTATGTGGGCTTTGCAGATTATATTTATGTTGTATATGCTATAGTGTTTATTGTGGGATTTATGTGTTAAAAGAAATTTAGGATAAATGGATTAAGTGATTTAAAAAATGGACCATAGGAATAGTACAGGTGTCTTCAAACACTCAAAAACATTCATGAGGGAAACACAGAAACCATATAAAATGTTCCAGAGGACTAGAAAAATTAAAGAAAGTTATAAGGAAGGGAATTGTGTAATATAAATAGCCTTCAGCAATTAGAGCAATCCAGTAAAGAAAATCATATAAAAATATTTACAAAAATGAAGACAAGGTGATTTTTAAGTAGCCAGAATATTATGAAAGCAGGAAATTAACATGGCTTAAAAAATTTCCCAACATATTAAAGGCTGTAAAATACATATAAAACACCAGGATAAAGGTGACATAGTGCCTAATCTCTACTTAAACCTTTTAGAAATTAAAACAGAAAGTTAAACATGCTGTCCCAGATATTACGTTCTTTCAGGCAAGAATTATTTATTTCCAGTATATAGCTTATTACCCAGCAGAAAGCAGACACATCATAGATATTTCAAAGTCTAAATCTAGGTAAACTGGTAAATGCTAAGGGAGAGAAAGGAGTTAAGGAAGAATTAAAATCTGGTACTACGAATGACATAAGTGATTGTTTTCTTACACTGTAGCTTCCCAACGTGTGCTCTAGAGAGTGCTTCTCCAATTTTAACGGGCAAGTAATCAATAAGATTATTGTCAAAAATTCAGATTCTGATTCAAAGGCTTGAAAGTCTGTATATCTAAAAAACACCCAAGTGATGCTGATTATTCTGATCCTTGGACTACGTTCTGAGAAGTAAAGCTTGGACAACTAGGATTCAGCTAGGCTTTTTTCTTAAAAAGGTAAAGTGAGTCAACCAAATCATGATATATTCTGATTTAGTGCATCCAAGGAGGGGCATAAAAACCTACATTTTAAACACAAAGTGATTTTCTATGAATTCTAAAACTAGAGAAGCATTGGCTCATAAAAAAGGGCTGGGAGGAAGCTTTGGAAATGGGTTTGCAAACTATAAACAAGCTTCTTCACACAGAGTCCCAGGAGCTTTTCACTTTAAGAAATACCCTTGATGTTAATTTTCAAAGGATTTCATATGAATAAAAATGTTAAGCAATGAGATTGCAAAAAGATTAGCTCAGGTCCCTCAACCCCCCTGGTGATGGCCCTAAGCCATTAAAAATAAGTTAAGTGGTAGAAATGGAGTGGAAATAAGTTTCAAATCCTCAGAAAGCAAAGAGGTTAATTACCAGGGTTAGTCTAGGACCCAGAACTGTGTATCTCCTATTCAATACTTTCGTTAATGATCTGGAAAGAAGGTGAAGTTTCAAAATTTATAAAAAATAATTATTTTAATTTTCTTGAGATTAGGGAAATTGGTTGAATTCCAAAAAAACCTAACAATATGAGGTAATTAAGAAACACAAAGGTTGATAAAATCCATTTAAAATATGTAAAGGCAAAGCACATTTGAAAAATAAATTTAAATTACTCATACACATTGATGAGCTCTGCACTAAATGTAATTTTCTCAGGAATAAGATTTATGTATCTCTTTGTGCAATTCCATGAAGACATTTGTTCACTACCTAGAGGCAATAAAAATGGAATGAGGTGTTAAGCCATATTAAAAGAGGCCAGAAGTAGGACACACATAGTTTAATACCTCAATTTTGAATCAATAATATCTTCTTATCTTAAATATAATACTAAGGTGGTCAACTTAGTCATCTCATCTTTAGGAGGCTATATAGAAAAAAATAGAGAACCAGAAAAGCAATGAGAACTACTACACTCATAAGGAAAATGAGGCATACTTTATGATAAAAAGACTGAAGGGCACATTTAGTTGAAAAAGGGAAAATTAAAAAGAAAATGTAATTATATATAAAATAATGAATACTAATGACAAAACCAATTGAGCACTTTAATTTACCTACATTTCTAAAGGCCATTTTCTAATAATAGAAAAAAAAATCCAATTATATTAGAAAGTAGACAGATATTACAGATAAAGAGTATATTGGTTCTTAACAATGCTTTTCCATGAAAAATCCATTGTAAAGGGTATTATACTATCAAGGTAAATAAAATGACAGAATAAGATTGGCAGACATTGTTTAAAAATAATGACCTATAGTGATAGCTGAAGATGCTATAGAGTATATTCAGTAATCTGATAAGTTAGAAGTAGGAAGATAAATTTTTCTTTGTTACTATACTTCACAGAATAGAGTAGAAAAAGAAAATGGAGAAAGAAAAACCTTGCTGTATTCAACCTGACAAGCAGAATGGATCTAATTATTTGCATCCAATGTTGCTAAAAAACACTTTTAAAAATTCATGAACCAAATCTTATAAAGGAAATAGATTTAAAATTAAATAGATATCATTGAAAAGCTGAAATCAAGATATGATAATCACTAATTAAGTAATACATACTGTATGCCAATAACTGCTAGATACTGAAACTAAACTGATGAACAGAAAAGCTCTTGTTCTTGACTTCATCAAGCCAACTTCACTGGCAGTCATACTACAATGTGAGAAGTGAAACAACAGAGGAAGCATATGAGTATATGATGCAATAAATATAGAAGAGACATATAATCCAAATTTAGGGCATTATGTAAAGCTTTCTGGAATACCTGATTCCTAATATAGGTTTTTTTAAAAAAAATATTTTTCAAGTGAAGGGCAAGAGTTAGAAGAGCTAGAAGCAGTTGCATGTGTAGATTCTTACAAATGAAAGAAGTTCAATACGTACGAACTAAAAATGAAAAGGGTAAAAGGGCTAGAGAGATAAACCAAGGCCCAGTCATCATGCCATAATAAGGAGTTGGACGTTATTGTGAGAAAGACGAGAAACTTTTTTTTTTTTTTTTGAGACAGAGTCTCGCTCTGTCGCCCAGGCTGGAGTGCCATGGCACGATCTCGGCTCACTGCAAGCTCCGCCTCCTGGGTTCACACCATTCTCCTGCCTCAGCCCCCTGAATAGCTGAGACTACAGAAGCCCGCCACCACATCTGGCTAATTTCTTGTATTTTTAGTAGAGACGGGGTTTCACCGTGTTAGCCAGGATGGTCTCAATCTCCTGACCTTGTGATTCACCCGCCTCGGCCTCCCAAAGTGCTGGGATTACAGGCGTGAGCCACCGCGCCCGGCCTTTTAAATGGCTTTAAATCAGTAGATGCATATTTTTAAACTTTAATTTTAGAAAGTACTCTGCCTGCAACGTGAAACATAGACTGAAGGTGGGTGATGCGGAGAAAGACTGAAGGCTGCTGGGAGTTTATAAAGATCAGGTAGGTGATTATGGGTAAGGTGTTGACGTTGAGGATAGATAGAAGCAGACAAACTAGAGAAATGTTTACTAGGTGGATTAACAATTGATTGAATAGGAGAGTTGGTAGTGAGGATAAAGCATTCCAAGTGATGTGTCCAGGCAGTTAAATTTGTCATACTCTAATTCGAGGAAGGGAGCTCTATTGAACATAAAGATTTAGCTGTATAAAGAGAAACATGAGCCGGGCATGGTCGCTCATGCCTGTAATCCCAGCACTTCGGGAGGCTGAGGCAGGCGGAACACCTGAGGTCGGGAGTTCACGACCAGCCTGACCAACGTGGAGAAACCCTCTCTCTACTAAAAATATAAAATTAGCCGGGCGTGGTGGCGCATGCCTGTAATCCCAGCTACTCGGGAGGCTGAGGCAGGAGAGTCGCTTGAACCCTCGAGGCGGAGATTGTGGTGAGCCAAGATCACGCCATTGCACTCCAGCCTGGGCAACAAGAGTGAAACTCTGTCTCAAAACAAAACAAAACAAAACAAAATACATGAGTAGTCTGCACAGACTCCTCGTGAAAATGAAAAGAGTAGGGAGCCTAGAAAAGAGCTCTCTGGGAGATATCAACTTTTTTAGTATGAAGTGGAGAAGAAAACTAAGAAAAAACAGGCAGATAGATAGAAGAAAAATCAGCTGAGTGTGCTACTGATGTCATGAAAGCTGAAACAAAAAACGAAACAAAACAAAAAATGGAGCATCAGCATTGCCAATTATAGAGTCAGGTAGTGAAGTAAGTCATTGTCTCTCCACCAGAATGTCAGCTCCATCAGTCAGTTATTTAGTCTGCCTTGTTCACAACTACATTCCCAGTGCTTGGGACCAAGCCAAAGAGAGTAAGCATTTACTTAGTATGAAATAATAAACTTAGTATGAAATAATAATAGTATGAAATAATAAAACATCATTATTTAATTAATCATTTATTTGGAGTCTATATTTTAAATTGATTTAGTTCTTGAATTCTTTTCTTTTTATTCTTGAATTCTTGCTATAATAGTAATACAATTTTTGCAAAGGAAACTGATTTATGTAGTTGTTTAGAATTTGAAAATACTTTTTGTTTCTAAACAGAAAAAAGACACTTTGCAAATTCTGATGATACTACTAAAAGATACACAAGGTATGTTAGAGAAAATTTCATATTTTTATTTACAATTTCTGACATTGCGCTATACTTAACTATTGACAATTTTATTTTAAAATATCCATGTATTAAAATTGCCCTACTATACCAGATTATAAAAAGTATTTTTTAATACCTGAAAACTCATTTTTATTGTGATATTTTATTATGGTTTAAACTATATCCACCACAATAATGTTGAATGAGAACTTCTGAGATATCTAACATATCATTGTACTCAGCCTACGAAATGGAATAAAATGAGTTCAGACATGGTATTGAATGACTTTTGTGGTGAACAGATCAGAGTACCAGTTTCATCAGTGCTATTTACCAACTTGTGGCCTTCAAATGTTATTTAGCCCAGCTTAATCTCAATGTCTCCATCTGCAGTTAGGATAAGGTATACATTACACCATTGTTGTGAAAATTAAATAAAATAATATTTCATACATATATTTAATTCTCTAGCCTGTTGCCTAGACCTAGTTAAAACTAAATGAGTGTTTAAAGAAAATGTAAATTTTCTCTGACTTGCTCAAAATTAGTTTCACTATATCTAAGTCTTTCACTTTCATAGTCACTCTAAAATATTATGTTTTCCCTTGCCATAATTAGCTTTTGAGGCCTGTAAATAGATTTGGAGTGCAAATGCCTAGATTCAAGTCCTGAGATGTCTCTAATTAGTATATGTAGGGGTGATGAGTTGAACTATGGCTTCCCAAAAGATACATTCCCCCAGAACCTGTGAAATCGGCCTTATTTGGAAAAAGGGTCTTTGCAGGTATAATTCAGGTGAGCATTTCAAGAAGAAATGACGCTTGATTAGGGTGGCCCCTGAATCTAACAATAAGTTCCTTATAAAGAGAAGAAGGGCAACTACAGAGAAGAAGGTCATGTAAAGATGGAAGCAGAGACTGGAGTTATGTTTCCATAAATCAAGGAATTCTGGAAGCCACCAGAAATTGGAAAAAGACAGAGCTCCTCTAGAGCACTGAGAGACAGTGTGACCCTGCTGACACCTTGATCTTGTACTTTTGGCCTCCAGAACTGTTAAAGAAAATATTTCTGTTGTTTGAAGCTATCAAGTTTCAGGTATAATTTATTAAAGAATCCCTAGGAAACTAATACAGTATATTTATGACTTTGAATAAGCCATCTAAGCTATATGAGCTTCAATTTTATTCTGAATAAAATAATAAAATTATATCTTGTCACATTTAATATCAATTAAATAAAAAGATGTATATTAAAGTATTTTTAACTATAAACTAGCACTTCATAGTTCAAAAGTTAAAAGATGTATATAAAAATACTTTTATCTTGCTTTATCTCCCTTCTAAATGATACTTTTAAATGAAAAGATGTGTACGAAAGTATTTTTAACTATGAAGTGCTCCTCACTACTAAAGATTTATTATGTTGTCTGATCTGTGGTATGAGGTCTTAAAAGTATTTTGTATAGAAGGATATGTATAAATGAAGAAAAATAGTGTCTTAATGTTTGTAATCTAGTAGGGCAAAGATATAATGTACCTAACAAATAAGTGAAGAAAAGAATCAAGAAACACAAAAAAATATTTAGAGTAATACATTATAATCTTGTAAGTAAATTCAGTGGCATGTGTGGAGTGAAAAAGGATACGGGGAAGAGTGGTTTGGGCTTATAATACGGAATAGCCTAGTTTAGAAAAATCTTATGCTAGTTCTACATATATTTACTACCTTGTATGGAATATTATAACACTGTTAGTTTTAATTACCTATGTTATTAAGATTATTTACTATAACTGTGTCCAGAATTGGTTCCTTCCGGTGGGTTCTTGGTCTCGCTAACTTCAAGAATGAAGCTGCGGACCCTTGTGGTGAGTATTACAGTTCTTAAAGATGGTGTGTCCAGAGTTTGTTCCTTCAGATGTTCAGATGTGTTCAGAGTTTCTTCCTTCTGGTGGGTTCGTGGTCTCGCTTGACTTCAGGAGTGAAGCCACAGACCTCCGCAGTGAGTGTTACAGCTCTTAAAGGTGGTGCTTCCGGAGTTGTTTTTTCCTCCCGGTGGGTTTGTGGTCTTGCTGACTTCAGGAGTGAAGCTGTAGACCTTCACAGTTAGTGTTACAGCTCATAAAGGTAGTGCAGACCCAAAGAGTGAGCAGCAGCAAGATGTATTGCGAAGAAGGAAAGAACAAACCTTCCACACGTGGAAGGGGACCCCATTGGGTTGCCGCTGTGGGCTCAGGTGGCCAGCTTTTATTCCCTTATTTGGCTCTGCCCACATCCTGCTGATTGGTCCATTTTACAGAGTGCTGATTGGTCCGTTTTTACAGAGTGCTGATTGGTGCGTTTACAAACCTTTAGCTAGACATAGAGCACTGATTGGTGCATTTACAATCCTTCAGCTAGACAGAAAAGTTCTCCAAGTCCCCACCTGACCCAGGAAGCCCAGCTGGCTTCACCTCTCATAAAGACTACAGAGAAAAATAGAGTATCTCATGATTTCTAAAAGAGAAGTCAGTATAATTAAAAATTAATAAGCCTCCAAGAAAAAAAGAAAATAAGCATCCAAATACTTCTGTAATTGTCAAATAAAAGTAGTAACTAAAGATATTTTGAAACTGAGTAATGTGTACAAAGCTCTATCTATATGAAATAGGGCTTTCAGTTTACTCAGATCATTCACACAACTAAATACAACATTATGCCATTTCTGATAGATTTTACTTAAAACTTCTTCTGAGAATGTGGCTTCATAATTACTTCTCATCAACATCATCTTCTGTTGATCAGATTGAATTAGAACAAAAGAAATTTTCATCTCTATTGAATATCAAGGGAAACCTAAATTCTAGTCTCCGCTTTCTAATTGATAACTATATGACTGTAGTTATTATTTTGCAAATTATAATATCAAGATGAGGAGCTCTCGCTCATGTACATAGAAAAAATAACACTTATTATTGCTACAAAAATATTTTTCTAGATCTCTTTGACAATTGTTAAGTATACAGACATTGATTCAGGGAAGCACTCAAGCTGGTACCTAGGACTGGGGGGTGTCTCACATCCTAGTTATGTGCTTATGGGTCCTTAGGTAATGAGATGATACACATAATGCAAAATTCAATGAGGATAAATGTAAAGACACATGCTTTTTAAAAAACACAAATAAAACCTAATACATATCAAAATTAGTTCAGTTCACTTCAAAAAGGGTTGGAGATTGGATTGTCTACAAGTCCTATTAGGGCCAAGAAAATACTGGAAGTGACCAAAAAGATAATCTAATCTTACCTACATAAATAGAAAAAAAACATATTGTATAGCCAATATTCAAATCAAGACAGATTTGTATTTCATTCTATTCGGTATATCTCTGACCATATCAGGGAGAACATGGGCAAACTATTTCACCTCCTTTTGCCTCAGTTTTTTATTTATAAAATATGTATAATAAAGGAACTTACAACATAAAGTTGTTGTGAGAAGTGAGTAAATATATGAAAAACATAATAGTTCTTACATAGGATAAGTGCCAAAAAAGTGTTTATAAAATAAAAAATTATATTAGCAATTAGAATCATGATGGGTCTAGAAATTTATGGGACAGTAAGTAATTTTTCTAGCTAATTGGTGCTCACTTCTGTCCCTTCTTTGCCATGTTTTCATCAGGTTTAATTCTAATTTCTAAGTAATACTTTTTAGAACTAGATATCATATCATATTTGATAATTTTCAATTACCAAAATGTGATTCTTCTGCTGCTAAATTCTTTTCAGAAAAGGTAAGCCTAAAAAATGAATTGAATATATATGCTAGAGGACACACAAAACATATATGTTGAAATTTGAAATATTTGTATAATTTTAATTTTTAAAATCCAAGAAAACTATACACTGAAGTGTAATACTTTTGATGGCAAACTCTAATGTAAAGAAAAAAATGAAAGATATTGAGTTTACAGATACAAATACTAACTGTGGAGCAAATACAAGAACACTTTTTTCAAGTTCTCAATGCATCCGAGCAGTTATTTTCCACGATACTAGTAGTTCAGTGAAATCATTTTATTTGACATTACTAATACTAGGCCCTGAGTCCTGAGAAAGATCAAGCCATGTTATTTGTTTTAAAGCAAATCAAACCAGATTGGTAGTCTTAACACTTAATCACTTTCTATTAGAGTAATAACTTGCAATCACAAGACTCTTTTCCATGGATCCTTTTTTCTGAATAATCTACACCCATTATAGAAGGAGATGGCAATGTTCCTCTTTATAGTTCTCAAGTACATCTCTAATTTTCTCTACTATGGTAGCAGTTAATGGCTTACATTCTATTTCTTTATGACATGAATGTTAATAGCAAGGATCTGGGAGATAAGTGGCTAAACTGCAATGAGTGGTTTTGTTGAACACATTCCTATTATGGCAGAAAATGAAATTGTTTTTGTTTTTTTCTACTTGCTTTCACATTGGTATATCATGGCCATTTTATTTTTGTTACATAATAATATGTTGCTGCAAAGCTCAGGAAAACAGTCATCAGACTGTTGTAGATGCTATGAGGACAAGTCATCCCTTTTTCATCACTGTTAAATATTACTACATTTCTTCCTGTGAAACTGAGATATAAGTTATGCAAGCAGTTTTATGAATGTAGGCTCTAAATTGTGACAACTGTCAGTGTCTCCTAGGACTGCTTTCACTTAAACACATCATTTATGAGTCTCCTTTTCTATTTCAGATTCTCAGTATCTGCTTATGTTTTAGGTAAAAAAAAGTATTCTAGACATATTGAAAAGAACAGAGGACTGGATGCCACCTAACTGGGGTCAAATTTACTCTGCTTCTCAAGATCTGCAATATCTTAGGAAAATCCTTCTACCTCTCTTGACACATTCTCAACTTGGTAAGACTATTTTGTCTTAGCCCAAGTCTGTCTAACAACAGCAGGCAGCTCTGATTAACTATGGGTATAGCCCTCTCTTTGGTTTGGACTATTCAATCTTTGGATTAGTCTATTCAACAGTATTTGCAAACCGAACCTCATGAGAGTGACAATGATAAGCTGTTTTTCTCAGTATTGGCTCAATCTCATTATCTCAATTTTAAGACTTGATTTATTGAGTCCTGCCATACAGACAGACACTTTAATATATTCAAGTTCAAACTTCAACTCTTTATTTTCTAACAGTTCTAAGGTCTGTATTTAATTTCTTACCGTTATCTTTAACTCTTCTAAAGTGTCATTATAAATAACTTCTGACCTATGTTTCCATTTCCAAACCTATGTTTCCAATTGCTTTAGTTTCATTTTTCTATCCTTTGAGCAGTCCCAGAGAAGTTGGAGTGTTGGACAACAGAGCAACTTCTTCCTCCTCAAAAGAAAGGTGAGAGCTGGGGTTTCTCATCAGCTCACTCTATGCTGAGCAGTGAGTATGACTTATGGCATCTACCAGTACAAATCATCATCTCTACTCTCCCCTTGACAGCTAGACTGTGCCAATCATGTCAGAGGCCCAAACCTGACAAGAAAGAATCCAGTCTTCAGGGGAGTCCCGAACCAAATTCTTCCCTTCTCTGAGAGAGGCTGGAAAATAGGATATCTTTTTCTGATTGTACAGTGTTGTGCCAGGGTAGGCATTCTGGCAGAAGTGTGTCCTGAACCTTCTTTCTGGCTTTGGTGAGTCTGGTTTGCCATCGCCACAGTTGCAGGAGCCTTTCCATTAGGTTACTCTCTCATTTCTCTACTGTTAAATCTAAGCTTCTTGTCTGTCTTATTTTCTAATTCTCTTTCAATGAAGTGATACAATATAGAATTTTCTTGAGCTATAAACAACATTCATATCTAAGCCTATGTTTTCTAAACTTCAGGAATGGAAAAGGAAGAGTATAAAACTCCAATGATAATACTATTAATACTATAAATAGTTATGCTACCCAACATCTGTTTTTAATGATTTTGTCACTTTTGCTTTGAATAGGTGTGGTTGCAAACTGTCTTGAACTTCATTTCATCTCAACAGAAGACACTGGCTAGTGATGGGGCTCAGAATATGCCACCCTAAAGTATGACTGTAAGAGGCCAGAATATGTCACTTGAAATAGGCCTTTATGGAATAAGAATTATTTTGAGCTGGTTATTTTGAGAAGCTGCAGACACAAAAGAAGCTCTGAAAAGTCACCCTTTTACAAGTAAAATTTACATCTATAAAGTAAATATCCATTTGTGATGGTGTCTCTCTAAAGCAAAAAATCACTAGAGCCTCTTAATCAAAGGAGAAAGCATCAACTTAAATTTTTAAAACATACTTCTCCCTTGTTCTATGGTGCTTTTCTGGCATGCTTGTCTTAACCAGATCTTCCCCCATACCCTTCTTTCTTTGTTTCAGAGAACTATGGTAATTAAGCCTGAAGTATAAGTAAACTCTTTGAAACGTACTCTACATATTTACTCATTTCTTTGGGTTATTTCCCATGTATACAGGAAGTATACATGTAATTCAACCATTTGTTTTTGCCTTGTTAGTCCATCTTATGTTACAGGGAGTCCCAGCAAAGAACTGGGAGGAGAAAATTATTTTTCCTCTCCTATACTGGGTAATGTGATCCTACTGAAGATACCAGTAGGATCTCCTTAAACCTCAATCTGCCTAAGGGGATGAAATTTCTATAAGATTAATTACCATGTTAAGTTTTCTTCCCTGTAAAATAAGATTACTGTAGAAAGAATGATGGTGAGACATCACATTATCTGTCATTAATAACTTAATGCTAATTTTTTAACCTAAAATGTAACTCAGAACAATTATTTATGGTTGTGCTACCATAAGAGTAAGGGGACATAATAATTCCATAGATTAATTTGTAAAATCAACATGTATTGAGTGTTCACTATATGCTAAGCACTCAACATATGCCAAGTCCCACCTAAACAGAAACCCAAAATAGGTAGTATAGAACAGATTGGGAGTAGCATGAAGAAAATAATCTACTAGAAATGGGTAAATACAATAGAAATCTCATCTTTATAAATAGAAGACACAAAGATAAGCTCTTGCTCTGAGTAAGTCATTCTTATCTGCCTGTATCATTCCATCAGCTACATATATTTATCATTCCACAAAGGTATTTATCATTCCACAAAGGTCTTTATCACTCCATAAATGTTTTACCATAACACATATCATTTACCTGAGCATTAGAAGGCATAAAAGAATCTTATCCTGCTTAAGATTTGAGTACAATTTTTAAAACCCCTGAAATGAATGGAGTCATTATTAGGTGTCTCTGAAAATAGCTACTTTGAGTAATAAAAATATTTTTATGGAAGATATAGGTAACATCTCCTACATACATTCGCAGGAATAAAGAGCCTTTGTTGCATAAATATTAGACAAAGCACTCTTCATCTACTAATATATAAGCAAGAAAGTGGTCATTAGAGTAAATGGTGAAGTTACTTAGGTTTACATCAGTAATGCATGGAATTAACCATATTTAATGTTATTGGAGAGGAATGAGCCATCTTCCTAATCATAATCATCTTGATCCAATTCCATCCTTCAGAAATTTTAATTTATCTAACTTATAAGAAAATGTGTTAAAACAAAGGCACTTCACAATATTAGTGCAATGTGCATCAAATGCACTAGAGAAAATTACCTAATACAATTTTCTAAGCCATTTAGTATCATGAACCAGGCACTAAAAGGAGAAAATTGCATTTTATGATTTGGAGGCTGTTGAAAACATCACACACCTGAATTCACACAATCTGCATATTTTTATTCTGTTCTCTCAACAAAAAAACCCAAGTATTTAATAAGCCAGAACACTAACTTGAAGATTTTACTGCATTAAACTAAAATAGAATGATAAAACATCTAGCTCTATTTGAGAAACAAAAAATAACTATAAAAAACTATAATAATTTCTCTCCTATATTTGGAATAAAATTAAAAGTCTCTCCTTGTCTTTATAGTTATTTTTTATAAGATTGAAAGAATAAAAGGATTAAAGTTACTAAATAAGAGGACCAAAGAGAAAAGACCTATATACCAATAGAGTACATTAATTTTCCTTAAAAAATAACCCTGGCCAGGCCTGGTGGCTCATGCCTGTAATCCCAGCACTTTGGGAGCCAAGGCAGGCAGATCAAGAGGTCAAGAGCTCGAGACCATCCTGGTCAACAAGGTGAAACCCTGTCTCTACTACAAATACAAAAATTAGCAGGGCGTGGTGGCACACGCCTGTAGTCCCAGCTACTCAGGAGGCTGAGGCAGGAGAATCACTTGAACCTGGGAGGCGGAGGTTGCAGTGAGCTGAGATCATGCCATTGCACTCCAGCCTGGTGATACAGCGAGACTCCATCAAAAAAAAAACAAAATACTGTCATACCTTCTTAGGAAGTTTGTGCCAGCATAAAACGAAATTGAATAAACTGGATACAGTTACTCATTTAGAAAATTAAAGTTATAAAGGAGGCCTCTTGATTTGTAATTCCCTAGTTAGCAATCAGAGAGAGAGAGAAAGGGAGTCAAAACAGTCCTTGATATTGCCATAATGATAAACAATAAAAGTTTTTCAGAATTTTTTCAAATAAGATGTATAGTATCTATCATTTCTATCTTATCATCATCATGTAGCATACAAAATAGTGAAAATAAAACACTGTGAAGAAAATTATTCCTAAATTTTTGTTGATATCCTGGTACTGCAAACATGGCAGGGTCACATTTCAACTCAGCCACTGAAAAACTGACTCATCTGGCCAAAATGAATGGGATGTAAAACATACCCTTAACCTTAGCATCACAAAAAGAAATAAGGTGGCAGAAAAGACATAAGGGTAGGCACAGATTTCTCAGGCAAGAGAAAGAGCTACAGGGCCAAGCAAATAGACAAAAGTTATTCTTGAGGTTAACAACTAATGCAGGCGGAAAGGATTTTGCAGGGCATATTGGAGCAAAGGAAGCAAAGACTCTGCAGAAATCAATTTATAAAGACTATACTTAAAATGACCTTTCAGCAATTGCATTAGCAGATACTAAGAGTTTCTTGCAAACAGAATAAGGATCCTGAAGTAAGAGATATCAACACCAACGAAGAAAGGCATAGAAACAAGAGCAAAGTGACATACACAAATGAGAAATCCAGATTAAAGCAGAACACAGACTACTTCCTAAGCCAAACGAGCCTTTCCTGCATTTTCTTAACAAGGAATAGTTGTCACTTTACATAAGAACCCTCTGGTATATCTTTCAGAGTGGCTGCATATATCTGTGCCTAATACATCCATATACTCTCATACATACCCTTATGATAAAATACACACAGTAGCATATACAGTGACATTGTATGGATTCAGGTTTTTTCAATAAATATTTAATTAATAAAGTTGAGAATGAATGTGCCAGTCTGGGAAATGTTACTTACTGATTTGTGGACTATATAAATCCTACTTGATAATTAGTAAAAATCTCAGAATGGGGAGGAAACAGTGAAACATAGGTGGTAGGCAGCCTTCTAAGACAGTTTCCTCCCATCTGTATTTACAACCTTCCCCTCCTTGAGTGTGGGCTGGACCTGGTGATTCGCCCTTAAGGAAAAAGGTGAATAGGATCTCACTTCTGAGAATACATTACAAAAAAGCCTGACTTCACTTATTCAAATTCTTTCTGGCTCTTCTTGCTCACTTCCCCTGAAGGAAGCCAGCTGCCTTATTGTATGCTACGCTATAGAGAGATCCACATGGCAAGGAACTGAGGACAACCTCCAGCCAACAGCCAAGGAGAAACTAAAGCTTCAGTCTGACAGCCCGTGTGGAGGTGAATCCTTCCCACTGGAAGTGGCATCCTTTCCCCGCCAAACCTCCATGTGACTGAGCCTAGGAGACACCTAGATTGCAGACTTGCAAAAGACTGAGCCTGATGACACAGCTAAGCTGCACCTAAATTCCCAGACCAAAGAAACTATGAGATAATAAATGTTACTTTAAGCCAAAAAATGTTGGGGTTAACTGTTAAGCAATAACAGATAAATAATACAATATGACTTTTTAAAGAATTTTGTCTTAACAAGGTTTATTTCTCCGTGGTTGTGTCATATAGTCACTAAAGCCTGAGCGAATGCCTGAACAAGTGAAAATTATGCTTTTATTACTCCTATATTTGGAATAAATTTTGTTAAAATGACAAAGAAATAAACTGACTTCCATGAAGTTGTTTTTTAAGTTTTTGCCATAAATTTATGTCACATTATATCAGCAGCCATTTCACCAATGAGATTTCCTTTCTTTTTCTCCTGGGATATCTGTTTAATAAGAATGAGAAAAAAAGGAGGAAAACATCTACTTACAAAAAGAAAAATAATATTCATTATTTAAACATTACCAAAGAATAACGATTCTTACAAAATTAGAAGTTAAATATATAAAATGATATAATCTACTTACATCGATAGAGCTTGTTTTATTACTTCGTTCAAAAATTAATTGTGTTGTGAATATAATCAATATTAATTTTATATCTAAGTCTAGTACTTTTATTTTTTACTTCAAGTAGGTCTGTTGTGCACTTATTTACTTGTAATAGTCTGTTGTCTAGGCCCACACATGTAGCAAACAGCATCAAGTGAGTGAAGGTCAGGCATTCCTATCCTAATAGGATATGGCTTACTTGGTGTTTCTATTTATAGATGAAACTGTTTCAAGTCAAACCTTTCTACAATTCTTTTTGTTCTTTATTTTTCCTCTGAAATTTGCAAAAGCTATTCAGCTTCAATTAATTTCCAGGCTTTTTTGACTACTCTAAAGTATGACTTCACTGACCTTTGTCCTAACTTTCTGATTTCCAGAACATTAGTTATTTTGCACTGATTACTACAGTATATTTAACCTTCAATTCTCTCTTTTCTACTCTGGAGTTTTGACCAATTCAGTTTCAGCTCCTGCCTAAGTTATCTTACCTGTAAGTATTCTATGCTATTTCCAATTCCTAATGTCCTTTTGACAAAAAGATCAAAATATTTTAACCAACACTTCATTACTCAATAACAAATATTTAATAAATATATAGTAAGAGCCTACTGTATGCAAAGCATTTTCAATTCTTTAATTTCCTTGCCTTTTCCTTCTCCAGCCTTCCTCAACTGATGCAAGTCATTTGTCCTCCACAAGTCTCAATCTTTTCTACTTAACAGACAAATCTGAACGGTAGGGTGATCATATTTAAACAGTGTCTGCTCTCATTGATCAGGCCTTAATATCTGATATCCTCCCAGACTACAGATTCCCATGATGACCCTTAGGATAATTTTTATTCCAAAGCAGTGTAGTACAGTGGAAATTGGTCTTGGAGGCAGATGAGTCTGAGTCAAAATTCTTATTCCAACATTTTGGAGTTATGACATCATCGGAAAATTACTCTGTTTCCTAACTATGAAATAGTACCCTTCTCTGCTGAAATATAACTAGGAAAATTGGCTAAATAGAAAATCTAATGTGCTCTGTCATCAATCATATTGTAAAACTTTGGGTACAGCCATAAGACTCTCTCCTTTCCTTTTTGGAGTACTAGAAGTGTCTAGACAAGGGCAAATAAATCTCATTTGAAGAACATGACTGTTTAATGAGACTCCATGCCCTTTAAGAGAGGGAAAGAACTAGGTACTCTTTGTAAATGTAAGGGAATATTTAAAAAGAGAGGGCTTATCAGACACGAGCAATGAAAACATGTTCCTCTTTAACACTGGATTGAAGGAGATGAGTGTCCACTGTTAAAGCCATAGATCTAAATTCTCCTTTTCTCCATTTACCAGAGAAGAGAGAAGTACCCATAGGCAAAAATCAAAGTAAAACAAAACAAAACAATGAGAAAGCATGAATCCAGAGATTCAACATCTGGTAGCATGGAACATTTGTTTCGAAAGAGCCAGTACAACATAGTAAAGAAGATCAGAGACCTATACCCAAGATGTATTCTCAGAAGGTGACAACATGAATGAGTAAAATTGAGGGGAGGGGGGAACGACTCAGAAAAGCAAATCTATAAGGAAATGTGTTTGACTCATTCTTGTCATTAGAAAGAAATGACCCCAATAAACGTACATGTGCATGTGTCTTTATAGCAGCATGATTTATAGTCCTTTGGGTATATACCCAGTAATGGGATGGCCGGGTCAAATGGTATTTCTAGTTCTAGATCCCTGAGGAGTCGCCACACTGACTTCCACAATGGTTGAACTAGTTTACAGTCCCACCAACAGTGTAAAAGTGTTCCTATTTCTCCACATCCTCTCCAGCACCTGTTGTTTCCTGACTTTTTAATGATTGCCATTCTAACTGGTGTGAGATGGTATCTCATTGTGGTTTTGATTTGCATTTCTCTGATGGCCAGTGATGGTGAGCATTTTTTCATGTGTTTTATGGCTGCATAAATGTCTTCTTTTGAGAAGTGTCTGTTCATGTCCTTTGCCCACTTTTTGATGGGGTTGTTTTTTTCTTGTAAATTTGTTTGAGTTCATTGTAGATTCTGGATATTAGTCCTTTGTCAGATAAGTAGTTTGCGAAAATTTTCTCCCATTTTGTAGGCTGCCTGTTCACTCTGATGGTAGTTTCTTTTGCTGTGCAAGAGCTCTTTAGTTTAATTAGATCTCATATGACAATTTTGGCTTTTGTTGCCACTGCTTTTGGTGTTTTAGACATGAAGTCCTTGCCCATGCCTATGTCCTGAATGGTAATGCCTAGGTTTTCTTCTAGGACTTCTATGGTTTAAGGTCTAACATTTAAGTCTTTAATCCATCTTGAATTAATTTTTGTATAAGGGGTAAGGAAGGGATTCAGTTTCAGCATATGGCTAGCCAGTTTTCCCAGCACCATTTATTAAATAGGGAATCCTTTCCCCATTGCTTGTTTTTCTCAGGTTTGTCAAAGATCAGATAGTTGTAGATATGCAGCGTTATTTCTGGGGGCTAAGTTCTGTTCCATTGATCTATATCTCTGTTTTGGTACCAGTACCATGCTGTTTTGGTTATTGTAGCCTTGTAGTATACTTTGAAGTCAGGTAGCGTGATGCCTCCAGCTTTGTTCTTTTGGCTTAGGATTGACTTGGCTATGCGGGCTCTTTTTTGGTTCCATATGAACTTTAAAGTAGTTTTTTCCAATTCTGTGAAGAAAGTCATTGGTAGCTTGATGGGGATGGCATTAAATCTATAAATTACATTGGGCAGCATGGCCATTTTCATGATATTGATTCTTCCTACTCATGAGCATGGAATGTTCTTCCATTTGTTTGTATCCTCTTTTATTTCATTGAGCAGTGGTTTGTAGTTCTCCTTGAAGAGGTCCTTCACGTCCCTCGTAAGGTGGATTCCTAGGTATTTTATTCTCTTTGAAGCAATTGTGAATGGGAGTTCACTCATGATTTGGCTCTCTGTTTGTCTGTTATTGGTGTATAAGAATGCCTGTGATTTTTGCACATTGATTTTGTATCCTGAGACTTTGCTGAAGTTGCTTATCAGCTCAAGGAGATTTTGGGCTGAGAAAATGGGGTTTTCTAGATATACAATCATGTCATCTGCAAACAGGGACAATTAGACTTCCTCTTTTCCTAATTGAATACCCTTTATTTCCTTCTCCTGCCTAATTGCCCTGGCCAGAACTTCCAACACTATGTTGAATAGGAGTGGTGAGGGAGGGCATCCCTGTCTTGTGCCAGTTTTCAAAGGGAATGCTTGCAGTTTTTGCCCATTCAGTATGATATTGGCTGTGGGTTTGTCATAGATAGCTGTTATTATTTTGAGATACTTCCCATCAATACCTAATTTCTTGAGAGTTTTTAGCATGAAGGGTTGTTGAATTTTGTCAAAGGCCTTTTCTGCATCTATTGAGATAATCCTGTGTTTTTTGTCTTTGCTTCTGTTTATATGCTGGATTACATTTATTGATTTGCGTATATTGAACCAGCCTTGCATCCCAGGGATGAAGCCCACTTGATCACGGTGGATAAGCTTTGTGATGTGCTGTGGGATTCGGTTTGCCAATATTTTATCGAGGATTTTTGCATCAATGTTCATCAAGGATATTGGTCTAATATTCTCTTTTTTGGTTGTGTCTCTGCCTGGATTTGGTATCAGGATGATGCTGGCATCATAAAATGAGTTAGGGAGGATTCCCTCTTTTTCTATTGATAGGAATAGTTTCAGAAGGAATGGTACCAGTTCCTCCTTGTACCTCTGGTAGAATTCGGCTGTGAATCCATCTGGTCCTGGACTCTTTTTGTTTGGTAAACTATTGATTATTGCCACAATTTCAGAACCTGTTATTGGTCTATTCAGAGAGGCAACTTCTTCCTGATTTAGTCTTGGGAGGGTGTATGTGTCAAGGAATTTATCCATTTCTTCTAGATTTTCTAGTTTATTTGCATAGAGGTGTTTGTAGTATTCCCTGATGGTAGTTTGTATTTCTGTGGGATCAGTGGTGATATCCCCTTTGTCATTTTTTATTGCGTCTATTTGATTCTTCTGTCTTTTCTTATCAGTCTTGCTAGCGGTCTATCAATTTTGTTGATCCTTTCAAAAAACCAGCTCCTGGATTCATTACTTTTTTGAAGGGTTTTTTGTGTCTCTATTTCCTTCAGTTCTGCTCTGATTTTAGTTATTTCTTGCCTTCTGCTAGCTTTTGAATGTGTTTGCTTTTGCTTTTCTAGTTCTTTTAATTGTGATGTTAGGTTGTCAATTTTGGATCTTTCCTGCTTTCTCTTGTGGGCATTTAGTGCTATAAATTTCCCTCTACACACTATTTTGAATGAGTCCCAGAGATTCTTGTATGTTGTGTCTTTGTTTTCATTAGTTTCAAAGAACATCTTTATTTCTGCCTTCATTTCGTTATGTACCCAGTAGTCATTCAGGAGCAGGTTGCTCAGTTTCCATGTAGTTGAGTGCTTTTGAGTGAGTTTCTTAATCCTGAGTTCTGGTTTGATTGCACTGTGGTCTGAGAGACAGTTTGTTATAATTTCTGATCTTTTACATTTGCTGAGGAGAGCTTTACTTCTAATGATGTGGTCAATTTTGGAATAGGTGTGGTGCTGAAAAAAATATATATTCTGTTGATTTGTGGTGGAGAGTTCTGTAGATGTCTACTAGGTCTGCTTGGTGCAGAGCTGAGTTCAATTCCTGGATATCCTTTTTAACTTTCTGTCTGTTGATCTGTCTAATGTTGACAGTGGGGTGTTAAAGTCTCCCATTATTATTGTGTGAGAGTCTAAGTCTCATTGTAGGTCACTGAGGACTTGCTTTATGAATGTAGGTGCTCCTGTATTGGGTGCATATATATTTAGGATAGTTAGCTCTTCTTGTTGAATTGATCCCTTTACCATTATGTAATGGCCTTCTTTGTCTCTTTTGATCTTTGTTGGTTTAAAGTCTGTTTTATCAGAGACTAGGATTGCAACCCCTGCCTTTTTTTGTTTTCCACTTGCTTGGTAGATCTTCCTCCATCCTTTCATTTTGAGCCTATGTGTGTCTCTGCATGTGAGATGGGTTTCCTGAATACAGCACACTGATGGGTCTTGACTCTTTATCCAATTTGCCAGTCTGTGTCTTTTAATTGGAGCATTTAGTCCATTTACATTTAAAGTTAATATTGTTATGTGTGTATTTGAGCCTGTCATTATGATGTTAGCTGGTTATTTTGCTCGTTAGTTGATGCAGTTTCTTCCTAGCATCGATGGTCTTTACAATTTGGCATGATTTTGCAGTGACTGGTACTGGTTGTTCCTTTCCATGTTTAGTGCTTCCTTCAGGACCTCTTTTAGGGCAGGCCTGGTGGTGACAAAATCTCTCAGTGTTTGCTTGTCTGTAAAGTATTTTATTTCTCCTTCACTTATGAAGCTTAGTTTGGCTTGATATGAAATTCTGGGTTGAAAATTCTTTTCTTTAAGAATGTTGAATAGTGGCCCTCACTCTCTACTGGCTTGTAGAGTTTCTGCCGAGAGATCCATGGTTAGTCTGATGGGCTTCCCTTTGTGAGTAACCCGACCTTTCTCTCTGGCTGCCGTTAACATTTTTTCCTTCATTTGAACTTTGGTGAATCTGATAATTATGTGTCTTGGAGTTGCTCTTCTCGAGGAGTATCTTTGTGGCGTTCTCTGTATTTCCTGAATCTGAATGTTAGCCTGCCTTGCTAGACTGGGGAAGTTCTCCTGGATAATATCCTGCAGAGTGTTTTCCAACTTAGTTCCATTCTTCCCTTCACTTTCAGGTACACCAATCAGACGTAGATTTGGTCTTTTCACATAGTCCCATATTTCTTGGAGGCTTTGTTCGTTTCTTTTTATTCTTTTTTCTCTAAACTTCCCTTCTCGCTTCATTTCATTCATTTCATCTTCCATCACTGATACCCTTTCTTCCAGTTGATCACATCAGCTCCTGAGGCTTCTGCATTCTTCACGCAGTTCTCGAGCCTTGGC
Source organism: Homo sapiens (assembly GCF_000001405.40). Lineage (NCBI taxonomy): Eukaryota > Metazoa > Chordata > Mammalia > Primates > Hominidae > Homo > Homo sapiens. The sequence goes on from NC_000004.12 coordinate 97,565,273, forward strand.
TTTCAGCTCCATCAGCTCCTTTAAGCACTTCTCTGTATTGGTTATTATAGTTATACATTCATCGAAATTTTTTTCAAAGTTTTCAACTTCTTTTCCCTTGGTTTGAATTTCCTCCTGTAGCTCGGAGTAGTTTGATCATCTGAAGCCTTCTTCTCTCAACTCGTCAAAGTCATTCTCTGTCCAGCTTTGTTCCATTGCTGGTGAGGAGCTGCGTTCCTTTGTAGGAGGAAAGGCACTCTGCTTTTTAGAGTTTCCAGTTTTCCTGCTCTGTTTTTTCCCCGTCTTTGTGGTTTTATCTACTTTTGGTCTTTGATGATGTGATGTACAGATGGGTTTTTGGTGTGGATATCCTTTCTGTTTGTTAGTTTTCCTTCTAACAGACAGGATCCTCAGCTGCAGGTCTGTTGGAGTTTGCTAGAGGTCCACTCCAGACCCTGTTTGCCTGGGTACCAGCAGCGGTGGCTGCAGAACAGCGGATTTTCGTGAACTGTGAATGCTGCTGTCTGATCGTTCCTCTGGAAGTTTTGTCTCAGAGGAGTACCCGGCCGTGTGAGGTGTCATTCTGCCGCTACTGGGGGGTGCCTCCCAGTTAGGCTGCTCAGAGGTCAGGGATCAGGGACCCACTTGAGGAGGCAGTCTGCCCATTCTCAGATCTCCAGCTGCATGCTGGGAGAACCACTGCTCTCTTCAAAGCTGTCAGACAGGGACATTTAAGTCTGCGGAGGTTACTGCAGTCTTTTTGTTTGTCTGTGCCCTGACCCCAGAGGTGGAGCCTACAGAGACAGGCAGGCCTCCTTGAGCTGTGGTGGGCTCCACCCAGTTCGAGCTTCCAGGCTGCTTTGTTTACCTAAGCAAGCCTGGGCAATGGCGGGTGCCTCTCCCCCAGCCTCGCTGCCACCTTGCAGTTTGATCTCAGACTGCTGTGCTAGCAATCAGTGATACTCCATGGGCATAGGACCCTCCGAGCCTGGTGCGGGATATAATCTCCTGGTGCACCATTTTTTAAGCCCGTTGGAAAAGCACAGTATTGGGGTGGGAGTGACCTGATTTTCCAGGTGCCGTCTGTTACCCCTTTCTTTGACTAGGAAAGGGAACTCCCTGTCCCCTTGCGCTTCCCGAGTGAGGCAATGCCTCGCCCTGCTTCGGCTAGCACATGGCGTGCTGCACCCACTGTCCTGCGCCCACTGTCTGGCACTCCCTAGTGAGACGAACCCGGTACCTCAGATGGAAATGCAGAAATCACCCGTCTTCTGCGTCGCTCACGCTGGGAGCTGTAGACTGGCGCTGTTCCTATTTGGCCATCTTGGCTTGTATGTTTATTGCGGCACTATTCACAACAGCAAAGACTTGGAACCAACCCAAATGTCCAACAATGATAGACTGGATTAAGAAAATGTGGCACATATACACCATGGAATACTATGCAGCCATAAAAAATGATGAGTTCATGTCCTTTGTAGGGACATGGATGAAATTGGAAATCATCATTCTCAGTAAACTATCACAAGAACAAGAAACCAAACACTGCATATTCTCACTCATAGGTAGGAACTGAACAATGAGAACACATGGACACAGGAAGGGGAACATCACACTCTGGGGACTGTTGTGGGGTGGTGGGAGGGGGGAGGGATAGCTTTAGGAGATATACCTAATGCTAATTGATGAGTTAATGGGCGCAGCACACCAGCATGGTACATGTATACATATGTAACTAACATGCACATTGTGCACATGTACCCTAAAACTTAAAGTATAATAATAATAAAATAAATAAATAAATAAAAGAAAGAAATGGCCCCTAAAATTTCATAACATTAATCTAATCCTTACATAGTTTATCAGGCTGGATTTTACACTATTTTTATTGCCCCATATCCCAAAACAATAGCTTACTTTAAGGTAGTCATAGCTGTAACACACACACACACACACACATACACACACACACACCCTTTAAATTACATATCTGCTAAATTAAAACTGTACTGAGAAACTATTTCTCAACTACCAGACTGGGAAATTTTAAAACCTGAACAGTACATACTGTTGGTGAGGCTGTGTGGAAATATGCACTCCCATATATTGCTGGTGAGAATGCAAATTGGTGCAATCCCGAAATAGAGGAATTTAGCAATATCTAACAATACTATATATATAATTTTATATATATATGTATATATATATATTCCCTTTCTCCCCTCTCCCCATAATCTGACTTTCAGGAGTTTATCCTGAACATATTAGGCCAACAATAAGAAAAGAGATTTGCACAAGGCTATTAATTTCAGCAATATTTACAATTGCAAAATACTGGGATGTCCAAATATAGGAAATTGGTTAAATAAACTATGCTGGATTTACACATTGAAGTTCCATGTGGCTGTAAGAAGAGTAAGGAAGTTTTCTATGAATTGATATGGAGGGTTCTTCATTAACATGTGTAAAACATCAAAGGACAAAAGATATATTGTATATTACATATAGATAAAATAAAGAATAAAAGATATACCGCATGTTGTATATGTGTATAGCATATGTACATTATATGACCTTTGTGTAAGGAAATAGGAGCAAAAGAATATATAGATATGTGCATTTAACAAAAGAAACTGAAGAATGATAAACCAGAAATCAAGAAATTATTTACCTACAAAGAGTAGGAGCCCTATTGAACCAGGTGGAAAAGGTTGGAGTGAATACAGTTTCTCCAAGTATACACTGTTGCATAGTTTTGACTTTTAGAAGCACAGCAGTGTTTTTCATATTAGAAACATAGTGGATGCAAACAGTGACAAATGAACCAACTTTCATTTCAAATGAATAACATAGCCACACTGAGAGGGAAAAACAAAAACATAAACAAAACTAATGCCCAGCGTTTGAACATACTTTAAAAAAAATTAGTCCAAAAGAAAAGAAAACATAAACAAATTTTGAACTCGTCTTAGTAGGTTGTTTTTTCTTTTTCTTTTTCACAGATATATTGGGTATTACCATCCTGAAACTTTTTTTGTGCATGGTACTGTTGATAAAGTGAATAAATGTGTTGTTGATTTCAGGACATGGTTAAGCAAATGAGTAAATGTGTTGATGTTACATCTCACATTGGAAGAATCAAGTTATGAGTATGTAATAGTGGAAGGGAGAAAGACAAGAGCCCTGTAGTGGGTGATCATGTGAATGGAGACAAGTATTGACATATATATGTGTGTGTGTGTCTCTCTCTCTCACACACACATGCACTCTGCTGAGAGGGCTGGAAACAACCATACATACTGCAGTAGCAATGAGCACATTTAGCACCCAGATCTTAATTTCTAAATACTATTACCCACTAAAAAACAAAGGAGCAAAGAGCAATAGATAATAATAATTAAAAAAAACAGGCTACCCAAACAAATGACTGAGTCCAGAACTTGAGCAAGGAAGATACAAAATGATCCCAAACATTCTCTTGTACCAGAAATTACATTCCCAAAAAGTGCTAATAACAAACAAACAACAACAACAAATGATGGGTAGAGGCATGTCAAAAGATCCTAGCAGTTGTTTGAAGGGGTTAGCCCTGGCCAAATGTGAATGAACATTAATTTCTTTTCTTTTCTTTCTTTTGTTTTTTGTTTTGTTTTTTTTTTTGTTTGTTTGTTTTGTTTTGCAGTTGTTACTGGAAAGGGGTAGCAATCCAGACCCCAAAAAAGGGTTCTTGGGCATCGTGCAAGAAAGACTTTGAGGCAAGTCCATAAAGTGAAAGCAAGTTTATTAAGTAAACGAATAAAAGAATGGCTATTCCATAGGCAGAGCAGAGACATGGGCTGCTCAACTGAGTATACTTGTAGTTATTTCTTGATTATATGCTAAACAATTGGTGGATTACTCATGAGTTTTCTGGGAAAGGAGTGGGCAATTCCTGGAACTGAAGTTTTCTCCCCTTTTAAGACCACATAGGTAACTTCTGGACATTGCCAGGGCGTTTGTAAACTGTCATGGTGCTCCTGGGAGTGTGTTTTAGCATACCAATGCATTATAATTAGTGTACTATGAGCAGTGAGGACAATAAGACGTCACTTTTGTCACCATCTTGGTTTTGGCCAGCTTCTTTGCTGCAATCAATTTGATCAGCAACGTCTTTATGACCTGTACTTTGTGCTGACCTCCTATCTTAACCTGTGACTAAGAATGCCTAACCTCCTGGAAATGCAGCCCAGGTGTCAGCCTTAACCCAGCCCCTATTCAAGATGGAATCGCCTCGATTCAAAGGCCTCTGACACAGTGATGGATTAGAATCAACTGAATATAACAGAAATCCATTAGTTCATACTGATAATAAATTGATAGTAGATTAACAAGTAAAGTAGAAGGGAGGGCTCTTCTTTATAGTAAATAGCTAATAATATAATTGAAATTAGTGGCAGGGTTGGAAAAGATTTTATTTGATAACCATTATATTAAGGATTGGAGTGGATAAAAATCATCAATTGATGCTAAATATAGGTAAGGAAAAGTTAATGAGGAACAGAATATTTACACAGTCTCAAAGTATCTCCCTATAAATTATTAATTATAAAAGGAAATGATATCTATACAGTGGAGAAAATGAGCAAAATTTTAACCAAATGATGAAAATTAATCTCATCAAAAAGAGACAAATAGTAATTATGTGCCTCCATATGTAATATATCCTGAAAAGTACATACATTACTTATATATTACTCCAACAAAAAGTACATAATCTGATGCTAATCATAAGGAAATACCAGAAAAACCCAAATTGAGAAACATTTCTCAATTTTTTAAGGATTGTCACTGTCATGAAAGACAAAGCCTCTTTCAGATTAAAGAAAACTAAAGATACATGAAAACTAAATGCAGTATAAGATCCTGGATTGAATATTGTATTTCCCAAAAATGCTTCAGATAACATTATTGTGATAATGGACAAAATTAAAGTGTGAATTATTAATTACCTAAAGCTATTCTATCAGTGTTACCTTTTCTAAATTTGATAGCTAAACTCGGTTTTATAATACATATATTGTTATTCTTTGGAAATGCACACTAAAATTTCAAGGCATTGGGGTGGCATGATGTATACAACTATGGGAAGTCAGGATTTTCTTCCCCAAAATATAAATGATTGTTGAGCTGAAGACAACTAACAAGAAGACACAGGAAATCTCCTTGCCCGTCCTCAATTTGCCTAAAAGCAGGCCAAAGATAAAAGATACCACTCTCTACTCTAGCTATCCTGGCCCACTCTAGGTATTCTAGATTTGCAAAAACAAAAGTTTTTTTTTTTTTCCTGCCCCCACTCCCACTGCTACCAGGGGGAACAAAGGTTAACCACTGAAGACAATTTTGGAGTCTTATGGAAATGGAGATGGTACAGAGGAATCTACATTAACAAGGTTTACTCACTAACCTTTATCTACCACTTATTAGCCTTCCCCCAAGTTGCTGCCTCAACAGACTCAAAGGTTTTTTTCCTTTGATTTCTCACTTCTCTAAAAATTTGTTATTTTTTATTGAAGATGCTATGTAAACTGGAATCCAAAGCCATCTGAGAACTACTCATTCCTTGGGTGTCTTCCACATATCTGTGAAATATACGCATTCATAAACTTCTGTTTGTCTTTTTTGTGTTAATCAGTCTTTCGTTACAGGGGTTCATTTCAGTCCTATGGGGTTTATTTTTCCCCTGCAGAACTTAATCTCAACTGGTTCCAAAAACTTTCTACTTTTGTTGCCATCTTTCTGTAAAATATTTAAAAATACATGGTTAAAACATTTAATATAATGCTAAAGTTGAACTTCTTGGATGGTATAGTATTTAAATGTAATTAAAATAATTTTAATTATTTTTAAATTTTTATTTCCCCAAATATAAGTATTAATTATTAAAAGTTTGACATTATAGCACAGGTAAAATAATTAGTCTTGTTACTGTAAATATGTGAAATTCAATAGATGATAGCCTTCGACTGAAACTGGTAGAAGGACTAGTATCCATAAACCAAAAATAAAGTTCTAAGGCTCCCCAACCATCTGAATGCAGCACCTGACAGCCAGGGCTCTTAAAATTTAACCCAAGAGACTGTTTCAGGCCATGAAGGGAAGTGGAGGTCGAACGTGCCTCATTATACCTCTACGGCACTAACATCAACACAGACTTTAAATCTGATAAGGAACATTTTACAACCTATTCTCTCTGAAGCCTGCCAGCTAAAAGTTTCATCTACCTGGTAAAGCTTTGCTCTCCACCACCTCTTATAGCAACCCAGACATTCCCTTCTATTGATCCCAGGTCTTTGGATAAACTCAACCAATTGTCAACCAGAAAACATTTAAATTTACCTGTAGCCTGGAAGTCCTTGTCTTGAGTTGTCCCACCTTTCTGGACCAAACCAATGTATTTCTTAAATGTATTTGATAGATGTATCATGCCTCCCTAAAATGTATCAAACCAAGCTGCGCCCCGACCACCTTGGACACAAGTTCTCAGGACCTCCTGAGGGTTGTGTCATGGGCCATGGTCATTCATATTTGGCTCACAATAAATCTCTTCAAATATTTTAGTTTGACTCTTTTCGTTGACATATCTTTTGGCTTTTTCTGCAAGTATATGTATGACATTGTCACCAAGCTTATTACTTGATTAGTAACTATCCAAGGTATATATCTATGTTCTTCTTAACTCCTGGACTTCACCATTTGCTACACAATGGTGTGGCAAATTAAGTGAAATAATCGCTCAAAATGAAGTTTTGTACACTGCTTGAATACAATGCTTTCTGAACATTTTTAAGGTTCTCATCAGACTATTGGTCTTAACTATGTATTTTATTTCTAATACTTTTGCATGCACTTGCTTGTTTACACAATCACTTGTCTGCATTTCAGTTTTCATTTGATTCATTTTTTCAGTATGACCATGGAGTGAAATGGCAGGAGGATCTGTGGACTGTGTATCATGTAAGAAATACCTGTACTCTCAAGATACAGCCATTCAGTTACTTCAGCAGTTTCCAACAAACTATTTTCTCTGTTAGTAACCACTGCTTATTACTCATTCCTGTCATCATAGATTTGTTAAGATTTTCTCTTTCTTTCAAGTAACTTTTTTACATGCAGCAGCTATTATATCTTGGTTGAAGATCTTGTATAAGTTGAACATCTCATATAAGAACAGTTTTTGAAATCTCTAAAGTCATGACAAAATTTCAAAATATAATGCACATTCTAAATGACATCTTGTATGTTTATTTATATTTGAAAATGAATCTTTGGTTATTAACATAAGGGAAATATCATGCCTTATTTATGCAAATGATAGTGTGCTTTTGTAAACCCACATGATCCCATGACTGCTACTCACAGGTAAGTTCAAGGATGTCGGAAATAACTTGCAATCAGCATTTTCCCATTCTATCCTCCAAACTGTGAGACCTGAAGTTGAAGGTGAATAGTACATTTAGCACTGAACACTAAAACAGAATCCCAATTTCCATTCATTTCTGGTTTATATGGATGTCAAGGTTTTGTGAAACATACTTTAAATAGGAGAAATAAGAAAACATGGTTAGTATTAGAGATGATAATTTTTTAATAAATTTTACCTACTATTATTCAAATTCATATGTAAATGAATGCAAAATGAATTCAATAGGCGTTTAACTAGTTTTATCCCATGTAGAGTTAGGTATTTTATCTTTAACACTAGAAAAATCCTCAGGGTAATTTGTAGTTGTTAAGACAGAAGCCTAGTTTGTTATCGTCCCTCTGCAGTGGCTTAATAAAAATGCCTCAGACATTTTCTGAGCCTAAATACGATATGCATTTTCATTCTTCTATATGGGTAATTTTTAATTTTCTTCTTTACCTCAAGTTTCTGAATTTATTATTTTTCTGTAATTCTTCCTAATTTCTATAGCAAACTTTTTATAATTGGAAAATAACTATACACGTTATATAAAACTTACTTTGATAAAATGAAAATTGTTATATGTATTATAAAATAAAAACTATAGCTAATATAAGGTTTTAAATAAGCTCTACAACTCAATAGCATATTTATTCACCCAAACCGCACAAGTAACAGACCAATTCTGGCAATTCTGTCAGATGCCTAAAGTCAAATAAAACGAGATAGCTTTAAATCACCATGTGTGAAATCTGAAGAGAAAAGAAGGAAACATTCAGTGTTAGCTATAAAGGCTGCATGGTAGAAACAAGGATTTATTATATATTTATTATTAACATAGTAATCATTTTAAATTATAATATAAAAAATGGAAATATAAACAAATTTTAAAGTTTTGAACTTTAATTGAAATTGTCTGCACTCTTCTATGGGGAGAAAAAGACAATTTAAAACAATGATATTTGAAACATAAATGAATAAATAAATTTTAAAATGTCCTCAATATCTACATATCCACATATATTAATTATCATTTTCTTCATCTATAGGAAGCATGGCTTAGTGGAAATTATAAAGCATTATGAGCTAATGTGGCAGGCCAGGTCTCACTAACAGCTGAAATGGCAGGCCTCTGTGACAAATATGTCAGCACTGACTGAGTGGTTAAGTTAAATATTAAAAGCTGATAGAGCCAGTGCCCTTATACAAAGCCTGGAATGTAACAAAAGCCCACCAAGAGTTTTGCCTAGGCTTTTCCTGGGCCTTGAAGCATGACAAGATAATGAAGGAATTGTTAACAGGACCCCTCTAGGATTCAACAAGTTTTCTTACGGATCTGAAGAATCTTCATTTGCCATGAAGGTAACACATTTACTAATTCCAGGGATTAGGGCATGGATAGTTTTGAGGGGACTTTATTCTACCTATCACAGAGTACTTCATGTGACTGCAGTTGAGGAACATAATTATTAATCTCTAAGAAATAATAATTATGTGTTTAAATAAACTCGTGAAACCCTCTGTTAAAAAAAAGTCACTTCTAGAGAGCTGAAGTATACAACTATTGTAGAAGGGAAAATATTTCTTCCTTCACTCATTGCAAGGTTCATGGCTGACATCCCTAAAATAAAAGACAGATTGACAAGAGGAAAACATACAAATTTATATAAGTTTTATGTGACACAGGAACCTTCAGAAATGAAGATAGAAAAGACCCAGAGAAAACAATTTATCTTTATAGACAGTTGTAAAAAAAAAAAGTATGATTGGCAGACAAAAGAGTATGACTTAATGATAATAAACTGAGGGGAACTCAGCAAGGCTTGCTTGTTCAGATTCTTTTTGGCATCTCTGTGTCAAACTCCATCTCTCTGGGTTTAGGACAGACACTTGTCACATGAAGGCCTTTAGGAGAAGAGAGGGATTACATCAGAGAGTAACCGTCCCAGGTTTTATGGTTTGTTTCAGGGTGAAAGGGGCTGGTAGAATTCTGGTTTTCATGATCCTTTTCAGCAAAAAAGTGGTGGGAGGAGGTCAGAAAGACCTTTCTGCTTCTGTGGATTTTTAACTTTCTTTCGGGTTAAATGATTAAGTATGCTAAGATGCCATATTTTGGGATAGTGTTTTTTGCATCCCACTTCATCACTATTTTAAGAACTCTAAAAAGTTTCCAATGTATATGTAAAAAATTTTATTTAATAGTTAATCTTCAAAGAAAAAAGAAGGTCCAAATAAGGACAATCAGAAATGACTAAGGTGAAATTACAAAAAAATCACACGGAAATACAAAAGATCCTTAGAGACTACTATGAATGTTTCTATGAATACAAACTAGACAATTCAGAAAAAAAAATTAATTTTTGGAAACACACAAGCTCCCCAGATTGAATCACGAAGAAATCAAAATGCTGAACAGACTGCTAATGAGTTCCAAAATTGAATCAGTGATAAAAAAAAACCTAACAATGAATAAAAGCCCTGGACCAGATAGACTCAGAACCCAATTCTCCCAGACATACAAAGAAGAACTGGTACCAATTCTTCTGAAACCATTCTGAAAAAATCAAGGAGGAATGATTCCTCCCCAACTCATTCTACAAAGTCAGCATCATTCTGATCCCAAAACCTGGTAGAGACACAATGAAAAAAGAAAACAACAGGCCAATATCTAAATCCTCAACAAAATACTAGCAAACCAAATCCAGCAGCACATCAAAAAGTTAATTCACCAAAGTCGAGTAGGCTTTATTCCTAAAATTTAAGGTTGGTCCGACATATACAAGTCAATAAATGTGATTCACCACACAAACAAAATTAAAAACAAAAACCACATGATCATCTCAATAGATGCAGAAAAAGCTTTTGATAAAAATCTAACATATTTTCATGATAAAAACCCACAACAAATGGGACATCAAAGGAACACATAATAAGAGCCATCTATGACAAACTCACAGCCAACAACATAGTAAACATGCAAAAGCTGAAAGCATTGCCCTTAAGAACTAAAACAAGAAAAGGATACCCACTCTCACCACTCTTATTTGCCATAGTACTAGAAGTCCTAGCCAGAGCAATCAGGCAAGACAAATAAATAAAAGGCATTTAAACAGGAAAAGAAGATGTCAAATTATCTCTTTTCACTGACAATATGATTCTATACCTCAAATAGCCTAATGGCTCTGCCAAAGAGCCCCTAGAACTGATGAATAACTTCAGTAAAGTACTAGCACACAAAATCAATATATAAAAATCTAGCATTTTTGTATAGCAACAATGTTTAAGCTGAGAGTCAAATAGAGAATGCAATCCCATTTACCATAGCCACATGCATAAAAAAATCTAGAAATATATCTAACCAAGGAGGTGAAAGATCTCTATAAGGAGAACTACAAAACACTGCTGAAAGTAATCATAGATGATATAAACAAATGGAAAAACAATCCATGCTCATGAATAGGCAGAATCAATATTGGTAAAATGGCCATGCTGCCCAAAGCAATTTACAGATTCAATGATATTGCTATCAAACTACCAAGGTCATTTTTCACGGAATTAGAAAAAAACTATACTAATATATATGGAATGAAAAAAAAAAAAAGCCCCAATAGCCAGAGCAGTCCTAACAAAACAGAACAAAGTTAGAGGCATCACATTACCTGACTACAAGCCATACTACGAGGCTATGGTAACCAAAACAGCATGCAACTGGCACCAAAACAGGCACACAGACTTATGGAACAGAATAGAGAACCCAGAAATAAAGCCACACACTTAGACAAAGTTGACAAAAATAAGCAATGGGGAAAGGACTCCCTTTTCAATACATGGTGCTAGGATAACTTGCTAGCCATATGCAGAAGAATGAAATCGACCTCTACATATCATCTAAAGAAATTAACTCAAGATAGATTAAAGACTTAAATTAAAGACCTAAAACTATAAAAAATCCTAGAAGAAAACTTAGAAAATACCCTTCTGGACACTGGCTTTGACAAAGAATTTATCATTAAGTCCTCCAAAGCAACTGCAACAAAAATGATAATTGGCAAGTGGTACCTCATTAAATTAAAGAGATTCTGCACAGTAAAACAGACTATCAACATAGAAAATATACAACCTACAGAACAAGAGAAAACATTCACAAATGAGGCATCTCACAGAGGTCTAGTGTCCAAAATCTATAAAAAACTTAAACAATTGAACAAGTAAAAAGCAAATAGCCTCATTAAAAACTGGGCAAAGGGCATGAACAGAAACTTCTCAAAAGAAGATCTACCAATAAACATATGAAAAATGCTCATCATCACTAATCATCAGAGAAATGCAGATTGAAACCACAATGATATGCCATCTTACACCAGTCAGAATGGCTATTACTAAAAAGTAAAAAAATAACAGATGTTAGTAACGCTGAGGAGAAAAGGGAACACTCATACACTGTTGATGGTAATGTAAATTTGTTCAGCCACTGTGGAAAGTGGTTTGGCAATTTCTCAAAGAACTAATATTAGAACTGCCATTCAACCTAGCAGTCCCATTACTGGGTATACAGCCAAAGGAAAAGAAATAATTCTATGAAAAGGACACATGCTCTTTTATGTTCATTGCAATACTATTCACAATAGCAATGTCATGGAATCAACCTAGGTATCCATACGTGGAGGACTGGACAAATAAAATGTGTTACATATACACTATGGAACACCAACAGCCATAAAAAAAAATCACACTTTTTGCAGCAACATGGATGCAGCTGGAGGCCAATATCCTAAATGAATTAACCTAGAAACAGAAAAACAAATACCGCCTGTTCTCAGTTGTGGGAGCTAAACATTGGGTACACATGGACTTAAACATGGGAACAACAGACACTGGGACTATTAGAGAGGGGAGTGAGGGAGGTGGTAAGGACTGAAAAACTACCTATTGGGTATTATGCTCAGTACATGGGTGACAGGATCAATCATACCCCAAACCTCAGCCTCATACCATATGTCATATAACAAACCTGCACATGTATTCCTGAATCTAAAACAAACATATAAAAATAAATAGTTCATCTTTTTCTTTCTTTTCACATCTATTAACCAGGACAGATTTCTCTTAACACTAATTATAAAGTACTTAACTAAACTATTTTAATTGTTAATTGTTAATTTCAACAATAACTGTCAGTAATGTATACAATACAGTTAATAATGATCATGGATGTTCAAAAATTATAATCCAAAATATACTAAAGGTCCTCAAAAAATAAAGTTATTATCTTTGCAGACATATATCCATTTTCAGAAATTTATAGAATTACACACTGGCAAGAAGATATTACGAATATAACACGCCTCCTGTTAGATTTAATTAACCTCTCAGTTTACCAAAGGAAAATAATTTATCCTTTCTTTCTTTCTTTTTTTTTTTTTTTTTTGAGATGGAGTCTCTTATGCTGTCACCCAGACTGGAGTGCAGTGCTGTGATCAAGGCTCACTGCAACATCCACCTCCCAGGCTCAAGCGATTGTCCCACCTCAACCTCCCGAGTAGCTGGGACCACAGATGTGTGCCACCACTCCCAGCTAAATTTGTGTATTTTTGGTAAATATGGGGTTTCTAGTGAGTGAAACTAGAGTTTTACTGTTTTCTATGACCAAATTATCTGGCCTAAAGAGGAGGTCATGGGAAGTTTCAATATGTAGCCAACTGAGACAGAAGTAGTGGGTAGCCTGAGGATCCAATACTTCAATTGCATCTGAAGAAGGGAGCAGTGTTATGGAACTGAGCCCTTAATCCATGGAATCTAAAGCTAACTCCAGGTAGATAACGTCAGAATTGAACTGAGTTGTAGGACACCCAGTTGATGTCTGCATAGAATTGGAGACTTACTTGGTGTGAAAACAAACCCACACTTTTTTTTTTTTTTTGCCAGAATTATTGGCATGAACATAGCAGAGAGAAAAACCAAGAGTTTTGGTTTGTTGAGTTTTTTCCCCTTTATCCACATAATAGCCAATTTCCCTGCAATTTTCAACAATGGTTTAAACCAAAAAGAAAGGGTTCCAGTAAATATTAACTAAATCAGAAGTTCTAATTGTGAGAGTAGTTCTTCTTCTTACAGCAATCTAAAATTGATCTTACCTATATTAAGCACCTCGTTACTTAGGTATTGGGTTCAAAGCTATGGCATAGTCAGGCCTCCACTGGCTAGGAACTGAAAATTTAAAAATGTCTGGGAGCAGAATTAATTAAGATTTAAGAATTTTAAATTTTCCTACTCATTTAGCATCAAACGAACAATATCAGTGCCATCTAAAAAATAAATCACTCATCTGTTTTCAGCTAAGAACTCAAGTTTAAGTGAGAAAAGAAGAAAATATCTACAATAATCAATCTTTAAATTGCAAGTGACTTTTAGACAAAACACCTACTTCTGCAAAGAACTTGCATGAATTTTTAGTAAGTTGATAATAATAATCATTAGTTATGGCTATTAAATGATATCTAAGTGTGTTCAATGTTGCTTTCCTATTAGTAGAAAAGTACATATTGAGATACACAGGAGCTTTATAGTATATATGTGAATACACATACATACACACCCTGAATATACAAAACATTATCTATGGGAGTTAAAATATTAACTATTTTGACTAATTATCCTATTCAGGAAAGCATCTTAAAAAATTTTCTAAGCATCTTAGAAAAAATTTAATCTCAAAATTTGAAATATATCTAAATAGGAGTTTTGGAGTGAATAAAATACTTATCTTGTTTGAAAAATTTTCTGCTAAATTTATTACTTAATTTTACAAGGTCCATTTATATTTAAACTCCATTTTAAAATAATCACAAAGTTAAGAATGGATTAAAATTAAATATTGCTGGTGAAACTTCAAAACTCTGGCCCTTCATCTTCTAAATTGGAACTTCTGCCACCTTTACAAAAGAAACAAACTTTTAATTCATCTATTTACTTGCATAGATCTCCCTTTGGCTGTGTTTTAAAGTGTACCACACTAAGGTGATCTACATTCATTAAGTTCATGCTCTGGTCTCCAATAATGGAGCTTGATTTTCTCTCATTTAATCAGATTTATAAAATTTTGCACACTAATTGAGGTAAACTGTGCAATTAAAAAACCAATTATATTTTACAATTGACCAAATCTTTTATTGAAACCACTAATCCCATAAGTTGTAGACTTATACATATAGCCATCAAAATTAAGTGTTATATATCAACACTTTATTTATCTATCACTAATTATAAATGCCCAATCTAACTGATAGAAAATAGAAATAATGAAAGAAAGCTTGGATTGACAGCTTACTCATGATCTTCATCACTCTGGTAAATATATTAACTTTTTCAGTGGGTATTTAATGCACTGGTGTGTAATAAACTATACTAATTAACCGAAGTCAAAATAATACCATTCCAAATAGCCAATTATTACACTATAAGAATTAGGTAGCTCTTCAGCAGCAGTCAAAATGAAGACACTCATTGTCCGTATTTATTCTGCAATAAAGTCATAAGACAGCGTTAACTCACTCATTTTAGAAGATACCTTATCAGAATCACCAGGTGACATACACATATAATTTATATAATACAAGTTATAATGATTATATGATATAATAATATTATCACTGCTATAGAACAAGACATAAAGATTATCTGACAGAATATTACTTAGAATAAATTTTGTACACATATCTCTAAAGGAAATTTAAAGATTCTCCTACTTATTTACTTGATTGTTTAAGAAGGATCAATCATGAATGGTTTCCTACATAGATTATTAGAAGCCATGGTAAACATTTCACCCTCTCTGTCTCTCTGTCTCTGTCTCTCTGTCTCTGTCTCTCTCCCTCTCACACACACACACACAAAGAGAATTATTTAAATTCCTCAAAGAAATACTATTTTAATTACTAATCAAGAAAACTTCCAGCCTCCAAATAACGACAAACTGCTTTAAAGAAAAAGGAAAGTTTATGACTATAATCCTACTCTATCCTAGCTAAATATTTAAGTGCAAGACAACCACCATTTGATGTGGGTTGGGTCAGTTAACAAAATACTTTATTCTCACTAATTTTTCAGGTATGTTGATGAAGAGTCTGATTCATTATGTGAAATATAATTAAATTTTCATGGAGATACAGGTATTTCAAATAAACATCAAGGCTCATTTTAAAGCCTGCTTTGTAAAAAATATGCGTTCCTTTGCATTTTCCTATGAGTAAATTCAGGGTTTTTTAATCAGAAAAAATACAATTATAAATTTTGATTAAAAGTTAAGGTTTTTCATTTATTTACTTATATTTATTTGGATATGATTGTAATGATGGTTAATTTTTCACTTTTACACTCTAGAGCTGTGGTGTCTAATAGAGTAGCCACTAGCCATTTGTGGCTATTTCCATTTCAATGAATTAATATTAAAATAAATTACAAATTCATTTCTTTGGTCACACTAAACACACTTTAGTTGCTCAACTGACAGGTAATAAGAAATATTTCCATTCTCTCAGAAAGTTTTTTTGAGCAATGCCACTCCAGAAGCACCACAAAGAGTGAAAGGATTACAAGCTTGGGCAGTTAGCACTTTTAAGTAACATAACCAAGATTCAAACCCAGGCATATCTCTGGAGTCTCTGCTTTTACCCATTAGCCAACTAGTTTTAGGAAAATTTATAACACTTACTAAAAATTATATTTGGCCTAACTCTGTAGCTACGGAGAACAATGCAGAAATCATTTAAAAGCAGATTAGGCAGTGTAAGTTTAGATTAATTTATACTTAACTAATAATGATGATAGTTACATGTAAGTCTGGACTCAGCCTACTTTCAAAAATAATTTGGAACTATTAATTACACTATAAAGTCTAAATATCTAGCATCTTATTAGAACATTTATCATTTAACTCATCAATTAAATTTCACCTTGCCGTTCAGCCAGGAGAAAAATGATTATTGTAATATTATGGTCAAACACAAATGGGACAGGAGAACTGTATGCTCTGAAACCAGATCCTTGAAATTCTTTTCAAAATAGCTATAACGTGCTTAGAAAATATTCAGAAAATGAGATTATTTTATAAAACATCTGTCAAAGGATCTAAAGTTCCAAAGAATTATAATTGTATTTTGGCTGATCTGATCTGAAAGCTTCACATTATCCTTCCAGCCTGGCCATAAATTCCTGTTTCCTACATCTAGTAGCTCTAGGAATCTTTCCAGTGTCCACAATGGGAAAAAAATTATTCCACTTATTCTGTTCCGAGTTTATAATTATTTCTTATTTGGTCTTATTATTTTATAACTATTTTAAATAGAAATTTAACCTTAAAATAATTTTCTTTTTGCCAAGCATCTGCAGCTACATTCAACACTGGCTCCTGGAACCACCCCCTCTGCCCCAACCCCATCTCCTACTTCTGCTCTATGGTTCCCTCTCATTATGCAAGAAGTCAGACATTGACTTTAGAACCAATACTTTCTGCAAATGTTTTCTAAACAACAAACTGCCAATATCTATATAATGTGCATACACCTAATCAGTGTATTTGTCAAATACGCGTTGTTGGTTGAATCAGTTAGTGGATTAGAAAATCAATTCAGTGATAAGCTTGAAAAAATAGTAAACATCATGATGCAATATAAACAACACTTTTTTGGTAAAAATGTCATGGCAAGCAATAGTGAATGAAGACAAAAGTGAGTCAATTCAGTAATAAGTAGAAGATATTATCTTTATTATAATAAAAATTTGTTTGCCTATATATTCTAATGTTTCTCTTTCATCTGCTAATCATACTCATAATTTTATCTTTCTGATTATGTTTTTGTCAACCATCAATAAATCTATTTCTCTGACAAATATGAAATATGATTTCTCAGAAAGAGTATTTTTGAGAAATGGGAAAGAAAAAGCCTAAATCAGAACACAGTCCACATAACTGAGCAAAAGATATAGGCTAGAATGATAAGTAAATTTGTGGCACAATTATAAGTTCAACTGCTGTATTTACTGAATGCAAACAAATGCCAGTAGTAATCCTAAAAGCTATCAAAATATAAATTTTAGGTTAACTGACTCACTAGCAAGCTCTATATTATTTACACTGC
Organism: Homo sapiens; assembly: GCF_000001405.40. Taxonomy (NCBI): domain Eukaryota; kingdom Metazoa; phylum Chordata; class Mammalia; order Primates; family Hominidae; genus Homo; species Homo sapiens. Next base: position 97,582,829 of record NC_000004.12, read on the forward strand.
AGAGTGGAGATAAATGAGGTCAGTGCTATGTGAAATGCTATCATAAGCTGGGAGGAAAAAAGGTCTGCAAACTGCCAAATATTACCAAGAATGTGACAATTTCCTGATCTTTTTGAACACTGTAGTTTGCTTATCGGTAAAACATTCTGGGAAATGTATTTTTTTGCAGAAACATAAAATTCTTGACATTACTGATGAAAATGCCTTTACATTATTACTGTGATTCTACTTGTTAAGTCTCATCATTTGTCAACTTGTAAGCAAATGTAGATTTGATGATTTCAGCTGTCATGGTTTCTTGCCAAGACTGCAAACAGACTTATAGGAAATTTCTAACCACTAGAAGAAGAGATAAGTGTCCAGAACACTAATTTTCACAATAGCCAGCTACCAGCTCCACCCCATTATCAACTACAAAAATTTCTAAAGTAGCAATGGAAGAGGTGTTTTTAGGATCCCTCAGAACAAATTAAAAGAATAGCTACTGTACACTGTCAGTTAACTAGCAGGCCCTTTACAATGCTACACTAAAGTAGAGAACTAGTCTCATCATGATGCAGCCATTAACAGAAATTGAATTAACAGAACCTTTAAAAATTAGCAGCATTGAGCCTTCACTTTACAAATTTGGAAAATATATTTGCTTAACCAAGAGTTCCTGCTATTTTCACATGAACTGACAGAAAAACATCCTAGTGTAATCACTGCTTCTCATAGTCAACTTAGAGTGTTATTATTCCCAGTGCAATGGGCCATTTAGGACTATTTGGTTGGAGAAAAAGACAGGAAACACTGTCCAGGGACTCAAGTAATGCATACAAACTCACATAAACTTAAGGTAAAGAGATGTAAAAAGATATTCCATGCAATGGAAACCAAAGGTGAGCAGGTATAGCTATTTTTATATCAGATTAAACAGACATTAAAGCAACAATGTTAAAAAAGACACAGAGAAACATCATACAATGATAAAAGAATCAGTCCAACAGGAAAATATCATAATCCTAAATATATATGCACCTAACATGGGAGCTCCCAAATTTATAAAACAATTATTACTAGACATTAGAAATGAGATACACAGCAAGACAATAGTAGTGGGGGGCTTCAGCACTCCACTGACAGCACTAGATATACAGGTTATCAAGATAGAGTGTCAACAAAGAAACAATGGACTTAAACTATACCCTAGAACAAATGGACTCAACTGGTATTTACAGAACATTCTACCCAACAACTGCAGAATGCTCATTATTTTCATTAGCATATGGAACATTCCCCAAGATACACCACATGATAGACCACAAAACAAGTCTCAATAAATTTAAGAAAATCAAAATTATATTGACTACCCTCTCAGAACGCAGTGTAATAAAACTGGTCATTAACTCCAAAAGAAACCCTCAAAATTATACAAATACATGGAAATTAAATAATCTGCTCCTGAAGGATCTTTGCATCAACAATGAAATCAAGATGGAAATCTAAAAATTCTTAGAACTGAATGATAATAGTGACAAAACTTATCAAAACCTCTGGGATACAGCAAAAGTGGTGTAAAGAGGAAAGTTCATAGCATTAAATACCTACATCAAAAAGTCTGAGAGAGCAGAAACAGACAATCTAAGGTCACACCTCAAGGAAACAGAGAAACAAGAACACACCAAATCCAAACCCAGCAAAAGAAAAGAAATAACAAAGATCAGAGCAGAACTAAATGAAATTGAAGCAAAATAATACAAAAGATAAATGAAACAAAAAGCTGATTCTTTGAAAAGATAAACAAAAATGATAGACCATTAGCAGGATTACTCAAGAAAACAGAGAAGATCCAAATAAGCTCAATTAGAAATGAAACAGGAGATATTACACCAATACAGCAGAAATACAAAAGATCATTCAAGGCTACTATGAAGACCTCAAGTAAATCTAGAGGAGATGGAAAAAATCCTCCAAATATACAACCCTCCTAGATTAAATCAGGAAAAAAATAGAAACTCTGAACAGACCAATAACAGGTAGCAAGATTAAAATAGTAATAACAAAAATTGCCAACAAAAAAAGTCCAGAACCAGATGGATTCACAGCTGAATTCTTTCAGGCACTCAGAGAATAATTGGTACCAATCTTACTGAAACTATTCCAAAATATAAAGAAAGGAGGAATCCTCTGAAAATGATTCCATGAAGCCAGTATTCCCCTAATACTAAAACCAGGAAAGGACATAAAAGTCCCCCTAATACTAAAACCAGGAAAGGACATAAAATATTCTCAAAAAAAAAAAAAAAAAAAAAAACAAAACTACAAGTTAACATCCAACAGCATTATCAAAAAGATAATCCACCATGATCCAGTAGATTTCTACCAGGGATGCAGGGATGGTTTAACATATGCAAGTCAATAAATGTGATACATCACATGAACAGAATTAAAAACAAAAATCATAAATGCAGGATATCCAGTGAACACCATCAATGGGATCAATCAAGAACCTTATCAACATTAAGCAACCAGGAAAAAGTTCTCCTTCACTGCCAGATCCAAAACTTCCCTCATCCAGTGAGAAACACCAAGGTGGCTGAGGTAGCATTAGCAAGAAAAATCTAACCACAACAAGAAGCCCAACACAGAAGCCTCTTTGATCCTGTGGGTCTAACACTCCCCTCCCTTGCCCATCTAAAAAAAACTAATGTGGCCAAAGTGTATTGGTAGAGAGAATCTTGTCACAGCAAGAACCCAGACTGGAAAGTTTTCTAGATCTTTCAGACAGCTAACTGTGCCACAGCAAGGGAGCCTCACTGTTTTCATATGTTTTAGGTTCCCCTATCACTCTGGGAGAATGCTCATGGCCTAGTCCAGGAATCAGCTCCTATCTTCTCATTTAGAAACAGAAGGCACAAGTAGGATATCCAGTGATACCAGATAAACCAAAAAGCTTAATGTAACACTGCAAAGCATCTAAAAATTAAACTGTTATTAGAGCCTTAACCCTCAAAAACAGATCAGGTACTGTGCGCTGAACCTAAACAGAGTGACTGTCTGCTAAAATAAAAAAAAATTTAAATAAAACCCAGACAAAATAGAAAAAAATAGATGAAATGTCTAAGATATAATTAAAAATCGCCCATCATACCAAAAACCAAGATGTTCAAAACCATAAAGAGAAAAGACTGATGCCAAACTGAGAAGAATTAGATGTCACAATTATCTGTAAGGATTTTAAGAGACCCATCATAAAATGATTCAACAATCAATTGTAAATTCTCTTACAACAAATAAAAAATATAAAATTTCAGCAAATAAATTATTTAAAAGAAACAAATGGAAATTATAGAACCCAAAAATTCAGTAATAGAAAACTCCCTGGATGGACACAATAATAGAGTGAGATAACAGACAATACAATCAGTGAAACTGAGGACAGACCAATACAATTCATCTAACACTAAGCAATAAGAAAAATATACTGAAAAAAGAACAAAGTCTAAGGGACCCAAGAGACTATATAATAATAACCGATATTTATATCATCTAAGTCCTGGAAGGAAAAGAGAAAGACAATAAGGTTAAAAGTATATTCAAATAATTAATGGCTTAAAACTTCCAAAATTTGATGGAAGACACATAATTACATATTCAAAGAGCTGAGTAAACTCCAAACAGGATAAACTCAAAGAAATTACTGCAAGTCAAATCTTAATCAAACTTTTGAAAATGAAAGACAAAATAAAAATCTTTAAAGCACCTAGAGAGAAAGGCATCTTATTTATGGGGAAACACCAATTTGAAGGCCAGCAGATTTGTCTTATAAAACAAAGGATGCCAGAAAGAAATAGAATAATGTTTTTAAAGTATTGAAAGGAAAACACCATCAACATGAATTCTATATTGGAAAAATTATCCTTCAGGAATCAAGGGGAACTAAAGATATTCTCAGGTGAAGGCAAACTAAAAGAATTTGTTGCTAATCAACTTACCATTAAACATCATGTAACAGAAGTTCTGTAGAGAGAAAGGAAATAATAAAAGAATCTTGGAGCATCGGCAAGGAAGAAGAAACCACAGAGCAGAAATATGGATACACTCAATAGACTTTCCTTTTTCTCATGAGTTTTATAAATCACATTTGATGATTAAAACAAAAATTATAACAAATATCATTCAGATTTTATGCCACTCTTATGTATGGCAATTATCAAAGTGGCTATAAAGGTAATGTTTGTCTTTGCTAGTAAAACACAAGTATCTAGAGAATTAACTTCATAATTCACTCATCTTAATATGTCCATTGTATTTTTCAGAATGATTAACACATATTAGTGTTTAATAAATATTTAGTAAATGGATGAATGAAATGGGTAAATTTTTATTTACCATCATTTTCCCTCTTCCTCTAAATAACTAGTTAAATATTTCAAATATTAAAGTAATTATTATGCAAAGCATTTTTTAAAGCTCTGATTTCCTAAGAAATTATATTGTTTATAATTAGGTACCATTGTAGCCCACATTACTTTGGACCAACAGGTTTCTTTGTGTTATACTATTCTAAAGATAACATTCAATAATATTCCATGGATATGTGGCTTTATAGCTTCTTGGTAACTGAAGAAGTACAATGAGGATATTTCAGAAATGAGAAAAATATCCAGAATTTTAAAAACAATAAGAACCTTCAAGTTTGATAATATAGGTAACATTAACAGTTGAGGTGGGTCACAGGACTTAGCATACAAGTCCTGTGGCCTTATTTTTAACTTACGGTGTTTTTAATAGTGGCCCAATTCCATTCCTTTGTCTGAGATCTGTAGAAGTTTGGAAGTATTTTACAGAATAGTCTTTGTAGTCCTAAAATGTCTTAAATTTCTGTTTCATATTTCTCACATCCAGTTCAAGGCCCCACCCCTATTATAACTCTGGCCCCAACATGTTACAGAATATTAAAATGGATTAGTGTTTATTTTCTAAAGGAATTAGAAACTAGGAATTAAACATTAGGGATAATCCTGACCCTCCTTAAGTCTGAATGAATTCCTGATAGCTGTGGGCATCAGTGTATTTACAGGGATCCCTAAATAAAAATTAATTTCAGAATCCCATTCATCTTCAGGTAGTTTTCATCATGGCTGTGATAGGAGGAAGAGATGACCCTGAGATTTGCTTTCTGAAATTAGGCTGAAATTTGCTTTCTCAACTTAGGTAATCAAATGTATGATATTACAAATAGTAAAATGACACAGAAAGTATATGTGTAAGAAGTGAATCAGAACCAATCATGGTGACTCACGCCTATAATCCCAGCACTTTGGGATGCCAAGGTGGGTAGATCACTTGAGGTTAGGAGTTCAAGATCAGCCTGGCCAATATGACGAACCCCATCTCTAGAGAAATAAATCAGAACTAGCTTCCTCAAAAGACTGATAAATTTGATTAAAAAAATTAACTACTCTGTACAGGAAAAAAATACCATAAATGCAACTGAAAAAAATACATTATCCAAGGAAAGCTTATTTATATTACACAAGGCAGATGTATTTTGCTTAATTTATGAAGAGCTTATACATCCAATTGGAAGGAGATAAACTATCTTAGTGTGTATTGAATATGAGATATGAACAGGTATTTACAGACCAAAATGTACAAATCAATAATAAATACCTGAAAAGATATTCTACCTTTATTACAAAAAGGAAATTAAAAAGGAATCATTTTCACCAATCCAATTGGCAAATTTAAAAACTCTGATGCTATCCACTGCAGGCAAGAGTGCAATAAAAAGAAGCTCATATCATCAGAGAGAATGTAAGTTGGAACACGATTTCTGAAAAATAATTTGGCAATATTTTTTAAAAATTGACAGGGATATCCCTTTTGACTCAGAAAACCCACAACTTGGATTTGTTTTACCGATATGATTATCAAAGTTTTCCAAGATATATTTTAAAAGATATCTTTTGCAAAACAAAAATAACAAAAATACTGGGAACAATTAAAGTATCCAAAAATACTATCAAAAACAAAAACAGCAGCTAGCACTTAGCATTTTCTATGCTACCTACTCTTCTTAGCATTTAATTTGTATAGTTTTACATAACCCACACAAAATTTTGGAATTATACCTCTACTTTGCAGATGAAAAATGCAAACATGGGAAGTTCTTGCCCAGTGTTCTACAACTCTGAATTGGTAGAAATGGGATGTAAACCACTGCAGTCTGATTCCAGAGTGCCTACTCTTAAGTAAATACGATGCAGTTAAAAACAGGTAGAAGATAGATATCTATGTGTTAATATGGAAAAATCTCCAAGAGGAAAAATAAGGGATAAAATGTAGTGAAAGGTATGTTCTCTTGTATGTTTTTGTATGTGCATATAATTATACATGAAGTTTATTTGCTGAATAAAATCACCAAAAAAAAAACCAATTACCCAGTTTTTGCATTATATATGTGTGTTGTTTTTATTTAGCAACATCAATAGCCATTATATGGGAAAGCCATTATATAGTAGGGAATAGCCTACTTTTATTAACATCTTTGTAGTTTTGTGAATTAAAAAATATATAAATATTTTAAAGTAATAAAAGCAATGTTAATAATCCATGATCAGTAATTTTTAACCTAACAATTGTTAAATTCATTGATTCATATATTAATTTAATAATTCATTCCCTTAACAAATATTTATTAAATACTTAACCATACGACAATTTTCTAGGTCAGGAGTTGGCAAGCTTTTCCTGTAAAAGGCTAAATAGCAAATATTTTAGCCTCTGTAAATCCTATTGTCTTGGTCATAACTATTCAACTCAGCCTTTGTAGTGCAAATGCACCATAGGCAATATACAGTAATGTGCCACGTCATGAATGTTCCCGGCAATGACGGTTCGCAAATGTGACTGTGATCCTTCAAGCTTCATTTATATTAAGTGCACATACAAGTGTATCATTTTTTAATCTTTTATACTGTAGTTCTATTTTTCCATTTGTTTAATTCTATTTAGACACACAAACACTTACCACTGTGTTACAATTGCCTGTAGTATTCAGTACAGTAAGATGTTATCCAAGTTTGTAGCTTAGGAGCACTAGGCTATACCATCTAAGTTTATTAAACCCTCTATGGTGTTTGTATAGTGGTGAAATTGACTAAAGAGGGATGCATTTCTTAGAATGTTTGCTCATCATTAAGTGATGAAACTTTATTTACAAAACTTAGCATCAGATCATATTTAGCCCATGAGTCATAGTCAGCTAACTCCTGTTATAGGTGCTTAAATTTAGTCTGTCTAGGTGTCTTTAGCCTAAAAATACAATAAATACATATACTTATATAGAAAACATTCTCATATAATTTATATATGCATAGGGGACACTGTTCCATGGAGGGCAGGTCTATGCAACCTACCCCCAAGAGTCCAAGGAAGCTGAAAGGCTGAAGAAAGAAGCTGACAAATTCAGTTTCTTGGAAACATTTAATAAAGACTTACGAACAGAAGCAATCATCTGTGTCTCGGTCAGCAGCAAGACAAGATGGGGGATGCCTGTATCATTATTCCTTGGATCCAGGGCTTATATACTATAGGGAAAGGGTAAATTAGAAGGTATGTGTAGGACAACTGAAGCATGATAACATCGAGGTCGTTTGTCCTAAGGGCAGGATTTACAGTCAGTGCCTATTCTTACACAAGAAATGATAGACAAACTGGAAATCTTAGAGGTCTTTCTTGAACTAGGGTTATTCAGAAGTCAATATGGTGAATTAGTATCCAAGATGGAGTTGCTTTGGCCTACATACACACAGACACACAGACACACACACACACACACACACACACACACACACAGAGAGAAACATTAAAGGACCAACAAAGAAGTATACCTGACTCAAGTATTAACAAAAATGCAGGTGTAAAAATTAGAATGATAAAGAAATTAATAATATTAATGCCTATATATTGCACAAATAAGTTACTACAACACAAGAAATTAGAGAAGAAAACATGATGCAGTTTTATTCTCAGATTTTGCATAAAGAGGGGATGGAAATGTAAAGCAAATTAATTGCTTTCTGGATTGACATTAAAATGCATCAGGAAAATAGGCCATTGCTATTTTCTGATAAGTACAAGACATCTCATATCAAAACCAAGAAGTGAATTCTTCACTAAACAATTATATTGAAGTTGCTTCTGGAATATTTATTTTAGTTGCATACTTCAATATCAAAAGCATGCAGAATAACCCTGCAAGTTCTTCACAGACCAACAGTAAAAATAGTTAAAAGACAGAAGATATTAATATTAGTTGATGAAATGATAAGCATGTAACTAACAAATAACTGTATGATGATAAAGAAATTTAAAACTAAAGAGAAAAGATCCATTTGTCAGATTACTTAAAATGAATTTAAATAAAAATTTAACATTTTTATTTTATAAATCAATTTCCATTAGTAAACCCTGGATTTGAAATTAAGCCAGAAAAAAATAGTTGAATATATAACATAAGGGTTTACTCTGGTAGCAATGGATGAATATATGTAGCTCAATTTTCTTTAACATTAATCAGTTTACATAATAATAAAGGCTAAGTTATATATTATTTCCATGTGAATCATTCCATAAGCAGACTTGCTTGATTTCTGAAGCAAAAGGAAAGGAAGTTTTAGCAGTTTGGAGAATTTTTGTAGTTATAAATAAATGGTGCCCTTTTTGGATAACCTGATTCTTCCACAGATCACCACACTTGAAGGTGAAAAATGATGTGAAATAAGAGATAGAGGGATAAAATTCTGACCAGTGTACTTTTTTATTTCTTTCAAGCAATGTTGTACCCCAGTCTGCCATGGTTCACTGCAACCAAATTGGTTTTCTCTTCTTGCATCAATATCCAAATCATGGTTTCCTCAGAAGGCATACACTAACCTTCTCATTAATCCTGTGAATGTCATCAGTCAGGATGTTGGTAGCTAACCCAAAATGCCTTCTCAGAGGAGGTACATTAAGATTTCCAGAGTAGAATTTGTTGCGATTCATAAGAAATGCTAAAAAATATGCTCTTAACTAGATGTTCTTTTTATGAATTCCCTGTACATAGTATATCTTTGAAAAATTTAGAAAAATATCCCAGTACCTGAAAATCATTTTTGTGATTAAATGATATGCCTAAAACTAAAAACATGTGAATTGTACAAAAAGGAAATATATTAACATGTAGTCTTCTAATAAGTAAGTTACATTTAACAAAAGTTGAGAAGAAACAGTAATTGGAAAGGGCAATAGAAAAATCGCCATCTTAATAAATATAATTAACACTTAAATAATAACATAAAAATTGGTAAAATTTTTTAATTACCATACTGGGACTGGAGAACCCAAACTAATACTCATTTTTTATTTATTATGTAAAAGAATATATCAATCCATTCTTAAAATCTAATAAATGAAAGCCAAAAAATATTAGAATTCTCACTTAAAAGGTCTGCTTCATTACAGTTGTTTATGTATTATGATAATGAAATGATTATACACATTTTTTTATACCTAGGCCCATGCCAATATGTTTTTTGAGATCTCAATACATCAAGCTCAAGTAATTAATTCACACATATAAAGCCTACTTTTATTATGAAAATTTTAATCAAATCTCTTTTTTATATTAAAACTATATTCTAATTAAACAAAGTTAAGAATTTAACTCAGGCAGATTCAAAACAGCCAACTAGCTGTAGCCAGGAAGAACATCTCCCACTAAGAGACCTGAACATCAGGAAGACTGGTACACTCCAAGCAGATATTTGGAAGAAAGGCATTAACAGTCAACAGAGGGAAGACACAGGTGCTGGGCTGAAGGGCAAGGAAGCTGGGAACACACCATGGGGCTACTGTGCACCAGAACTCGTTTTTGGCCACCAGTGACTCCTGGGGAATGGGTGAGTTAAATAGGCAAGATGATCCCCTCTCACCATAGACCACTGGAATCCTGGCAGCTGGAGACCCCACAACCCCCAAGGGCACTTGAGGTGGCAGAGAGAGCTGCTTAGAGAGGTGGTAGGGACAGGACTCCAGCCTCTGTAGAGCCCAGAGTGTTTGTGGTGGGAGCGTCTTCAGTAGAGCATTACCAGGGATGCCCAAGGCACATCATGCTCCTCTAAGAGACTTTAACCACAAGGGACTACCTGGACAGAACAGAACAGTCTTGCCTTTGAAACAAGGCCAGTTTGATCTGAGCACTCCCTTGTTTGCTGGCCTTCCCCAGGGTCCCAGCCTGGCCACACCTATTGCAGTGCAGCCTCAGATGCCCAACTAGGGTGCTTCCCAGGAGTCCTCATCATAGCTCCTTCACTGGGAGATTATGTCTGACCATCAGGGAATTCCAGCAGAGCAGCCCCTGCCGACAGGCACCAGCCCACCCCCACTCTTCTCCCACAGTAGCCTCCTCATGCTACTTTGCCAGCAAGCACTTGTCCACAGCCACCCCTTCCACTGCTTTGCCAGTGTACATGGGCAGACGTCACCTCCCCTCCGACAATGGTGTGCGTGTGTGCACATCCTGCATGACACTGATGCTAGCATCCTGGTGTCAGCGCATCCTGGGTCTCGCACACCCAACCGCAATTCTTGCCTAGCTATGCCACCATTGCACGTGAGAATTTGTACACGGATGCCAACAACCCCACCTCCCCATGCCAACACCACCATCACTGCATGGGTGAGCATGGAGTTCAGCAGCCCAACGCCTGTCAGCACCCTGCTGCCACTGTGGGCATGAGCACATGCAGAAACACTGCAGCCCCAGACCCACTGCTACACCACCCCAGCCAATGCCCCTGTACCCCACCACACTGTCACTGATGCTGGAACGCATGAAGGAGCATGGATCCCACTGACACTGCTCTAAGGAAGCACTTTAGCGAGCACTACACATCAGAGTGCTGTGGCCAGTGGTACAAGAACACCTCAGCCCCTCAAATGCAGAAGGTTCACAACCTTGAGGGGCCAGAGAACAAAACCAGGGGCTAGGTAACCGCCCCCCAAGATTTGGAGCATGTAGCCCAGAAATGCTGAGCCGAGCCATGATGCCTTAAGTTCTTCCAGAAATGAAGCCAGTCAACTGAACCCACAATCAAAACTCCCAAGGACAGCAAAGAAGATAAAAGCATAAAGCCCCATCCAAAGGCCAGCAACTTCAAAGACTGAAGGAACGTCAGCCCATACAGATGAGAAAGAAGCAGCACAATAACTCTGGAAATTCAAAAAGCCAGTGTCTTCTAACCTCCAAAACTGTACTCGTTCCCCAGCAATGGTTTTTAACAAGGCTGAAATGGCTGAAATGACAGAAATAGAATTCAGAATAAGGATAGGAATGAACTTCATCAAGATTCAGAAGAAAGTGAAAACCCAATTCAAGGATTCTAAGGAATACAATAAAATGATGCAGGAGATGAAACACAAAATAACCATTTTAAGAAAGAACCAAACTGATCTGATAGAGCTGAAAAACTCATGTCAAGAATTTCAGAATATAATCCGAAGTATTAACAGCAGAATCAGCAAAGCTGAGGAAAGAATCTCAGAGCTCGAAGACTGGTTCTCCACAATAGCCAAACAAAAATAAAGAAAAAAGATTAAAGAAGAAAGAATGAAACCTCTGGCAAATATAGGACTAGGTAAAGAGACCAAATCTACATCTCACTGGCATCCCTGGAAGAGAGGGAGAGAAATCAAGCAAGTTGAAAAACCTACTTCAGAATATTGTTCATGAAAATTTCTCCAACCTCACCGGAAAAGCCAACATTCACATTCAGGAAATCCAGATAAGACTTCTGAGAAACTATACAAAATGACCATCCCCAACACACAGATTCTCCAAGAATGAAATTAAAGAAAAATCATTAAAGGCAGATAAAGAGAAGGGGCAGGTCACCATCAAAGGGAACCCCATCAGGTTAACAGAGGACCCTTCAGCAGAAATTCTACAAGCCAGAAAAGATTGGGAGCATATATTCAGTATTCTTAAAATGCTCATCATCACTGGCCTTCAGAGAAATGCAAATCAAAACCACAAGGAGATACCATCTCACACCAGTTAGAATGGCGATCATTAAAAAGTCAGGAAACAACAGGTGCTGGAGAGGATGTGGAGAAATAGGAACACTTTTACACTGTTGGTGGGACTGTAAACTAGTTCAACCATTGTGGAAGTCAGTGTGGCGATTCCTCAAGGATCTAGACCTAGAAATACCATTTGACTCAGCAATCTCATTACTGGGTATACACCCAAAGGATTATAAATCATGCTGCTATAAAGACACATGCACACATATGTTTACTGCAGCACTATTCACAATAGCAAAGACTTGGAACCAACCCAAATGTCCAACAATGATAGACTGGATTAAGAAAATGTGGCACATATACACCATGGAATACTATGCAGCCATAAAAAAGGATGAGTTCATGTCCTTTGTAGGGACATGGATGAAGCTGGAAACCATCATTCTCAGCGAACTATCGCAAGGACAAAAAACAAACACCACATGTTCTCACTCATAGGTGGGAATTGAACAATGAGAACACTTGGACACAGGAAGGGGAACATCACACACCGGGGCCTGTCATGGGGTAGGGGGAGAGGGGAGGGTTAGCATTAGGAGATATACCTAATGTAAATGATGAGTTAATGGGTACAGCACACCAACATGTCACATGTATACATATGTAACAAACCTGCATGTTGTGCACATGTACCCTAGAACTTAAAGTATAATAAAAATAAAAAAACAAAAAAAGAAAAAAAAAGAAAAATTCCAACCAAGAATTTAATATCCAGCCAAAGTAAGCCTCATAAGCAAAGGACAAAAAAGATCCTTTTCAAGTAAGCAAATGCTAAGGGAATTTGTTACCACCAGACCTATCTTACAAGTGGTCCTGAAGGAGGTGCTCAGTATAAAAATGAAAGACAATTACTTGCCACCACAAAAACACACTTACGTACATAGACTATTGACACTATAAAGCAACTACACAATAAAGTCTGCATAATAACTAGCTAACAACATGATCACCGAATCAAATTCACATACATCAATATTAACCTTGAATGTAAATGGGCTAAATGCCCCAAGTAAAAGGCACAGACTGGCAAGTTCAATAAAGAAGCAAAAACCAACAATACGCTTTCTTCAAGAGATCCACCTCACATGCAATAACACACAAATGCTCAAAGTAAATATATGAAGAAAAATCTACCAAGCAAACAGAAAACAGAAAAAAATCAGGGGTTGCTATTCTAATTTCAGATGAAACAGACTTCAAACTAACAAAGATAAAAAAAGAAGGGCATTACACAATGGTAAAGGCTTCAATTTAACAAGAAGACCTAACTGTCCTAAATATATTTGCATCCAATACAGGAGCACCAGATTAAAAAGTAAGTTCTTTGAGATGTAAGAAGAGACTTAGATTTCCACCCAATAATAGTAGTATTACACTGACACCATTAGACAGATCACTGAGACAGAAAAAAATAAATTAAAAATATACAAAGACATTTGGAACCTGAACTTGACACTTGACCAAGCTACCTAACAGACATCTACTGAACTCTCTACCCAAAACAACAGAATATACTTTCCTCTCATTTGCACATAGCACATATTCTAAAATGGACCACATAATTGGCCATAAAACAATCCTCAGTAGATTCAAAAAAGCCAAAATCATACCACCCACACTCTCAGATCATAACACAATAAAAACTGAAATAGATAGTAAGAAGATTGCTCAAAACTATACAATTGCAGGAAAATGAAACAACCTGCTCCAGAATGACTTTTGAATAAACAATGAAATTAAGGCAGTAATCAAAATATTGTTTGAAACTAATGAGAAAAAAAGATAAAACATAACAGAACCTCTGGGACATAGCTAAAGCAGAGTTAAGAGAGAAGTTTAATAGCACTAACTGCCCTCACCAAAAAGTGAGAAAAATCTAAAATTAACAACCTAACATTAAATTTAAAGGAGCTAGAGAAACAAGAGCAAACAAATCCCCAAGCTAGCAGAAAACAAGAAATAACCAAAATCAGAGCTGAACTGAAAAAAAAATGGGACGAGAAACCACACAAAGATCAATACATCCAAGAGTTTGTTTTCATGAAAGAATAAATAAAATGGACAGATGCCCAGCTAGACTAAGAGAAAAACAGAGAAGGTCCAAATAAACACAAGAAAAAATGACAAAGGAGTCATTACCACCATCTGCACAGAAATACAAGAATTCTGAGATTACTACGAACACCTCTATGCACAAAAATTAGAAAACTTAGAATAATAGATAAATTCCTGTACACATTCAACCTCCTGAGAATGCGCTAGGAAGAAACTGAATTCCTGAACAGACCAATAATGAGTTGCAAAATTGAATCAGTTATAAAAATCCTACCAATGAAAAAAAGCCCACAACCAGATGGATTCACAGCCAAATCCTACCAGATGTATAAGAAAGAGCTGATACCATTCCTACCGAAACTATTCCAAAAAATTGAGGAGAATGGACTCCTCACTAACTCATTCTACGAAGCCAGCATCATCCTGATACCAAAACCTGGCAGAGATTCAACTAAGAAAGAAAACTTTTACCCAGTATCCTTCAACGAAACTCTAGCAAAGAAAATCCAGCAGTGATCAAAAAGCTAATCCACCAAGATTAAGTAGACTTTTTCCCTGGGATGCAAGGTTGTTTCAATATATGCAAATCAATAAATGTGATTTATTACATAAACAGAAATAAAATAAAAAACCACATGATCATCTCACTAGATGCAGAAAAGGCTTTTGATAAAATTCAACATCCCTTCATGTTAAAAACTCTCAACAAATGAGGCATTGAAACAACATACATCGGAAGTATAAGAGCCATCTATGACAAACCCACAACCTACATCATACTGAATGGGCAAAAGGTGGTAGCATTTCCCTTGAGAATCAGAAGAAGACAATGATGCCCACTCTCACCACTCCTGTCCAAAATAGTATTGGAACCCTAGCCAAAGAAACCAGGTAAGAGAAAGAAATAAAAGGCATCCAAAGAGAAGAGAGGAAATCAAACTATCTCTGGTTGCAGATGATATGATTCTATACCTAGAAAATCAATCATCTCTGTCTGAAAGCCCCTTGATCTGATTTAAAAAAAAAAACTTCAGCAGAATTTCAAGATACAAAAATAATGTACAAAATCAGTAGCATTCTCATACACCAACAACATCCAAGCTGAGAGTCAAATCAATAATGCAATCCCATTCACAATAGCCACAAAAAGAAACAAATACGTAGGAATACAGCTAACAGGGAAGGTGAAATATCTCTACAGAAAAATTACAAAAGACTGCTAAAAGAAATCAGAGATGAAACATACAAATGGAAAAACAGTCCATGCTTACTGATAGGAAGAATCAATATTGTTAAAACGACAGTACTGCCCAAAGCAGTTTATAGATTCAACACTATTCCAAACTACCAATGACATTCTTCACGGAATTAGAAAAAAAAACATTTTAAAATTCATATGGAACCAAAAAAGAAACTAAATAGCCAAAGCAATCCTAAGCAAAAACAAGCAAACACACAACAACAACAACAGCAAAAACCAAAGCTGCAGGCTTCACACTACCCAACTTCAAACTACACTACAAGACTACAGTAGCCCAAACAGCATGGTACTGGTAAAAAAAAAAAAAACAGACATATAGAACAATGGAACAGGGTAGAGAGCCCAATATCAAGCTGCACACCTACAACCCTCTGATCTTTGAAGAAGTTGACAAAAACAAGCAACGGGAAAATAATTCCCTATTCAATAAATGGTGCTGGGATAACTGACTAGCCATATACAGAAGATTGAAATTGGAGCCCTTCCTTACACCATATAGAAAAGTCAACTCAAGATGGATTAAAGCCTTAAATATAAAACCTAAATCTATAAAAACCCTGAGAGATAACCTAATAAATACCATTCTGGACATGGAACCTGGCAAAGATTTCATGACAAAGACACCAAAAGCAACTGCAACAACAACAACAAAAAAATGACAAATGGGACCTGATTAAACTAAAGAGCTTCTGCCAGCAAAAGATTTCAACAGACAACCTGCAGAATGGGAGAAAATATTTGCAAGCTATGCATTCTACAAAGGTCTAATATCCAGCATCTATAAGTAACTTAAACAATTCTACAAGCAAAAACCAAGTAACCCCATTGAAAGTGGGCAGAGGACCCTTATCAAAAGAAGACATATTTGCGGCCAGCAAGCATATGAAAAAAACACTCAACAGCACTGATCGTTAGAGAAATGCAAGTCTAAACCACCATCTCACACCAGTCAGAGTGACTATTATTAAAAAGTCAAAAAATAAGAGATGCTGGCAAGGTTGCAGAGAAAAGGCAGTGCTTATACACCTCTGGTGGGAATGGAAATTAGTTAAGCCCTTGTGGAAAGCAGTGTTTTGTGATTCCTCAAAGAACTTAGAACAGAACTACCATTTGACTCAGCAATCCCATTATTGGGTATGTTCCCAAATGAATATAAATCATTCTACCATAAAGACATATGCATACATATGTTCATCACAGCACTATTCACAGTAGCAAGAATGGAATCAACCTAAATGCCTATCAATGGTAGATTGGATAAAGAAAATGTGGTACATATAGGCCGGGTGCGGTGGCTCATGCCTGTAATCCCAGCACTTTGGGAGGCCGAGGCGGGCAGATCATCAGGTCAGGAGATCAAGACCATCCTGGGTAACACGGTGAAACCCCGTCTCTACTAAAGAATACAAAAAATTACCAGGGCGTGGTGGCGGGCACCCATAGTCCCAGCTACTCGGGAGGCTGAGGCAGGAGAATGGCGTGAACCTCGGAGGTGGAGCTTGCAGTGAGTGGAGATCGTGCCACTGAACTCCAGCCTGGGTGACAGTGTGAGATTCTGTCTCAAAAAAAAAAAAAAGAAAAGAAAAGAAAAGGAAAAAAAAGAAAAGAAAATGTGGCACATATACTCCATGAAATACTGCTTAGTCATAGGAAGAAGGAGATCACGTTCTTTGCTGCAACATGGATGGAGCTGGAGGCCATTATCCTAAATGAACTAACACAGACACAGAAAACCAAATAGTGCATGTCCTCACTTATAAATGGAAGCTAAACATTGAGTACACATGGACACAAAGGGAAAAACAACAAATATTAGGACCTACTTGAGGGTGGAAGGTTGGTGGAGCGTGAGGATCAAAAAACTGTCTATCAGATAATATGCTTTATTACCTGGGTTATGAAAGAATCTGTACACCAAACCCCTATGACACACAATTTATCTATGCAAAAATCTGTACATGTGCCCCAACCCTAAAATAAAAATTAAAAAATAATAATAGCACATGTAAAAAGAATTTAATTCAATGCAACAAGTATTTATCAAATCATTTTTCCCTTGTACCAGAACATGCTAGGTGCTAGAATATAAACATGTCTAAAATAAAGTCCTTTCTTCAAAGGGCTTAAAATAAAATACTATGTATAAAATAAGCATACATATAGTTACAAAGCAAAAACCAGAAAAAAGGAAATGTTTTGAAAGAGTTCAAATAAATATTGATCTCCAATGACGTTAATGCCTATTTTACATTGGCGAGGGCTCATAATGGATTTCATAAAAGAAACAGCATTTAAATTGGGCTTTGAAGCTTAGATTGGATTTTTACAGACCTATGCAGATAATATTTATCTGTGGATGACACTGTGTGAGCAAACTAATGAGGCAGTGTCTAGAAGATATAGTCACACACAGACACACACATACACACACAAAAAATAGCTATAGCACAGGCTATGCATATGCATAGTGGGGGAAAGTTCAAAAATAGCGCAATAGTTTTATATAGACCGTTAAAGCCTAAAATGAGAAATTTAGACTTAGTTTAAAGAGTAACAGAAAGTCAGTCAGTACTTTGGGGCACAGCTAATCTGAATTTCCAGGACTGACAAATCCTAGGATTTGTCTACACATAGGATTCATAAATTGGAATGCAGAGAAATTTTAGCCAAAGAGGTTATTTTGGAGGTTATTGAAATAACCTAGCAAAGTGAGGATGACTATCACATATCAGAAGAAGAAATAGAAGGGAAAAGATGATGTGAAAAAATGTGATGAAAGTGATTGGGATAGGAGTGGGATGGATGAGATGAAGACAAAATTGACCTTAAGATTTTTTCATGGTTTCATTATTCCAATTGTTGCAGGAACTTCAAAATAATGTGCCTTCGTATTTATTTGTGCTTTTGTTTTTGCTTGCTTTTCCATTAAGTGTACCAGGACATTGGCAGGTTCCTTCACTCCAGAGATGAATGCCTTTAAGTCAAGGGAGAATTTTTCATATTGTCTCTTTGTTAAATTCCTTATTTTATTTGCTCATTCTAAAGCTTATATTAGATATTTAGTATCCCAGACTTCTTCTAATATGTTAAGCAAAAAAAGAATCTTATATAAGTATAGATTCTACATATTCTTATCAAAGTTTTTAAATTGTGCTTTTCAAGTTATTTCATCTAACCAGAATTGATTTTTGCATATGGCATGTTGTAAAAATCCAATTTCTTTTTTTCCCGTATGGGTGATTGAATTTTTTGTGGTATAACTCTCAAAGTCCATCTTTTTCCCACTGATCTGTAAGTGGGACTTATATTTAAGTCTTTAATCCATCTTGAGCTGATTTTTCTATATGGTGTAAGGAAGGGCTCCATGTCCCTGTTTCATATCAAGGATCCATATATGCATACATCTGTTTTGAGGAATTCTATTCCATAGGTCTGATATCTCACTGATTGAATTACTATTGCACTATAAAATCTTGTAATGTGGTATGGAAATTTCTCCAGAATGTTCTTCCTTAGGAGTGTGTTATATATTCTTTATAATTGCAAATAAATTTTAAACAAACTTGTCAAGTTCCTCAAGAAATCCTTAGTTACTAAATTTATAGATCAAGTTGGGAGAATTGAAACTTGAGAATCTTCCTACTCATGAACATGGCACATTTTTCCATTTATTTTGGTCATTTAAATATATGTTTATACTTCTTTTGTTAGATTTATTTCTATGTACCCCATATTTTGTTGCTATTTACATAGTAGGTTTTAAATAATTTTACATATTCTAATTACTACCAGGATATAGACATGCAATTGCTTTTAATATAATGATCTTATGACTGAAGATTGCCAAAATCTCTCATAAATTTTATTATTTGCCCATAGATTATTTTACTTTTTTTCTATGTTGTCAACATCATCTTCAAATAATGTCAGTTGTTGAACTTATTTTTTCATTTTATCCATGTACTATGTATCTATCACTAATGTTTCCCATATTTCACCAAATCTAATAGCTATCAATTTTATTTTTCAAAATCTAAAATGCATCTGATGACCTTGTCAGTCAAAGGACAGTTTTTGTTCTTTAAAACTCCATCCATCCTCCTGCTCCAATCTGTATAGACCTATTCCATACCAATCTCCACACACACTTATTTTCCCTTTTTCTTACTGCTCAAGATAGTGCCTCTATTACTTTGTTAAGTAGAAGTAAAAATATCACGCATCTTTTTCTCTTTCTTGAATTTAAATAAAATGCTTCTAACATTATAACATTGAATACAATGTTTACTCTATGTTTTTGGATAGATACTCTTAATTACATTAACAAAAATTCCTTCTAACACTGATTTCCTAGGAATTTTTATTAAAAATGTATGTTGAGTTTTATGGGACACTTTTTGTCATGGTTTTTTGGCATCTACTGAGATTATTGCATGATTTTCTCTTATTTCTTCTAACATATTAATGCACAAATGTATTTTCTAATCCTCCATTATCTTAGTCTGTACAAGGATTCATTATTTTACGCCTTTATTGCATAGTAAAATTTTGGAATTGAGAGAAGTTAAAGTGCACATAATCAATTGGCCATTTTTAACCAGAAAATGTAAATCATAAGGATAGAAAAAACAAAATAGAAATACATAACATCATCTAGACATAACCAATGTAGTTCTGTTACATTTCTGGCTGGTTTATCAATTTCAACAGTTTACATTAAATTAGTTTTAAAGCATGCTTCAAAGAATACAATCAACAGAAAAGATGGCCTATGAAATAGAAACAAATATTTGCAAATAATATATCTGATAAGGAGTTTGTGTCCAGAATATATAAAAACTTTTAAAACTCAACTACAAAAAACAAACAAACCAATTTAAAAAACAGGCAAAAAACTTAAATAGGTATTTCTCCAAAGAAGATATACAAATATCCAACAAACACACAAAAAGATGCTCAATATTACATATCAGGGAAATACACATCAAAACCAAAATGAGATACCACCTCACATTCAACAGGATGGCTACTATCAAAAAAATAGAAAACAACAAATTTTGGCAAGAATGTGTACAAATTGGAACAGTTGTACATGGCTGTTGGGAATGTAGAATAGTGTAGCTACTATGGTAAACAGTATGGCTGTTACTTAAAAAATTAAAAATAGAATTACCATAAGATCAAGCAATTATACTTCTGGGTATATATCCAAAAGAATTGAAAGCAGGGTCTCAAAAAGATAGCTGTACCTCCACAGTAGCATTATTCAAGATAGCTAAAATGTGGAAGCAACCCAAGTGCTCATCAACACATGAATGGGTAAACACAATGTGATATATCTATATATATACACACACATATATATATCGTTATATATATAAAATGCAATATTATTCAGGAAGGAAATTCTGATACATGCTAAATCATGGATGAACCTTGAGGGTCTCATGGTAAGTAAAATAAGTCAGTCACAAAAAGGCAAATACTGTATGATTTCACTTATGTGAAGTACTTAGAATAGTAAAATTAATAGAGACAGAAAGTAGAATGGTGATTGCCACAAGCTGGCTGAAGGGAGAGATGGTGAGTTGCTTAATGGATATAAAGTTTCAGTTTTGCAAGATGAAAAGAGTTCTGGAGATTGGTTGCACAAAAAATGTCAATGTACTTAACATTACTAAACCACTATAAATGGTTAAAAGGGTAAATTTTATGTTATATATATTGCACCGCAATTGAAAATAAAAGTGAAAATTAATCTTAAAATATACTCTCCATTTCTGAAAACTTTATATGGGAAAATCTTTTCCATAGTTGAAAAGACTTAGTCATGAAACTCGGAATCTGGGTATGCTTTTATATTAATTTTTGGACTCAGTTTTACTCTAGGGCAGCCCTGTATTTGAAATAGTAATCTAGTAATCCATATTCTAGAAGGATAGCCTCATATCTTTCAAGTCATCTGAGTTTTAGGGAGAAATTTGGAAAAGGGAAGATGACATTTCAAAAATATTTTATAGTATATCCACATTGAATTGAACTGGGAACGCTTTAATAATTGGCATTTAAAAAAGAAGCATATGTCTAAACAGACAATTGAAGAGTGCTCCTTGAAACAAAAAGGAGAAAAGAGATGTAGTGGCACCAACAATTTAGGTTTCTAGTTTCCAATACCTAGTTCCAAGGCACAGTCTGAGCATTCTGTCTCAAAACAGATGTGATGTTGAATGACAGGATGCCCCTCTTGAGCAATTATTTGACTGAGAGTCAAAATATCATCTGAATGAGTTTAATCCTCTTAGAGTTCTCCTCTACCCTTCTGCTACCCATAAGAAAAGAGCCCAATCTTTACCGGTTCTCTCTAGTGTAAAAGCTCATATTTCGTTGACTCATTTTTTTCTAGAAAATTCAAAGAAATAAGGCTTTAGAATGTGAAGAGAGATAAATTTGTTAATAATACTTGAGAAATGAAATATTTTAATGGCCAGGTCTGGCTGCCAAAAAGGCTGCTTCTGATTTATCTTACATTCTAAACCAAACATACTAAGTATCTGAGCATAATCATATTTAATATGCCTTTCCCTTCTCCATTTCAAAGGCAAGATAATCTGTCTAGTATTCTTTAAGAAATACTACAGACAGCAAATATCTTCTCCTTTTCCCTCGTCTTCTTAAGGAAAAGTAAATAAAATAGAACTTTAGAATATATCCTTATACTCTCTAAAAAATAAACCAAAGCTTCTCCCATTGGCCTAAGACGCTGTATTAACCTTTAAACTGCCTTCAGTAACGGAAAATAACCCATTAAAGAACAATGCTTAATTCTATCATGTATGCATTTACTTAGTTTGACAGTTATACCCATTTGCTTCTTTTCTTTCTTGATAAAAAGAAACGACATTCAGCTCTACACTGTATTTCATTACCTTTTTAGCTTTTACAAGCATAGGGATGTGAACTTCTATATCAAATATACTTTTCTAAAGAAAAGAATTTCCAAAATCATAGGAAACTTCCCAAACTAGTGAAAAATTTACATAAAGTACTTCAATATACAATATACTTAGTAGTGCTGAAAGCATTTAGAGTTTAAAATATGCTTTCATGCATTTGAAACACACACTATCTCTATGAAACATTTAAGAAGGAAATATCAGAAGCCTAAAAAGTTTGTGCTAGTTGTCTAAAATTGCAAAAATATGAATAGATAGATTTGGGACTAAGATCCAGTTCATGGTTTTAAGACCTGCACTTTGAATATTGAATAAAATATGTTGCCACTTATTATTAATATCATTTTAACAATTAAATTAATAATTGAGAAATGACTGTGACTTGGAAGTTTTGCATAGAGGTATTGTGTTTTAACAGTAAGTTGTTGATGCTAATAGGAAATTAATAACAATATATGTAAATATACTAGAATCATTATGATTCCTATACTGTAATCAGGTTGTATTTATAAACTTAGAGAGTTTCAATACCTATCAGACAATTTAGACATTTTTCAAAGCCAAATCAGGGATTTCAATAATATTTGCATTAATACAAAAAAAAGAAAAAAAAAATCTGTGTTTAGAAACAAAGAACAAACCCACTACAAGTTCCTCAGTCTCATCTCAAAACGTTCCACAAAAAAAATTATTTAAAAAACTAGTTCAAAGCCATGGCAATTTAATTGCTGTGAGTTTTATAGGTGTCATAAAGCCTCCTGCTATGGAATTTTTAGATCTAATTTTTATTCCTAGATAAGAACTGAAAAACAAACTACTTCAAAGCAGCAGCTCAGCTCTATTCACCTTCTTTAGAATGATTTGAAATGATTTAGGACCTTTCAAAATACAGGATGCTGATGATGCCTATTTTTAAATGTGTGCTTTTCCCATCACGTGGGGCATTTTGTGATTTTATTGCATGACCTTTGGCTGCATCATTGTATGTGTTCTTAAGCATAGCAATGCTCGTTAAAATGAACACTATTTTCTAAATAAAGACTCTGTTAAATATTCCTATTTTTAAGTAAGTTTTGTTTATTTTATTTTAGACTTTAACTGGTTTCCTTACTGAATATGACTATAACCATGAGACTTTAAGAGGCCTGCTGTCCTGTGAATACATATTTTCTGCAAATCCTATAAGTGGTACTCTCTATCAGTGAGCTGCATTGTACCAAAAATACAGAAAGTGTAAAAATATTTTATTGGAAAAAACAAATATATATAGAGAGAGAGATAGATCAAGTTCAGAGATACATATAAATTCTGTGTACATTTTCTCTGAGATGTGCTTCAACAAGAAAACTAATTAAATGTAATACAAGTTTGAGTCATTCACTGGCTGTTTTTATTTCTAGCATAGCAATTTTTGTGAAAGATATTCTTTAAAAATCACAATGTGTTATTTTGTATATATTGTAATTATTTTTATTGAGTCCAAATGAATTGTTAATGATGGTGATTATTTAGCTTTAAGACTCTTTATGCTATTTTGTCTTTTACCTCTAAACATATGTGTTTTTAAGTACTTCCATTTTACCATCTTTCTTGTTATGTAAAAAATGCCTATAATTCTATAAATACAATTTACAAAGATAGTGCTAAGAGAAATGAAAAACAGTTGGACATATTTTAAATTAAATTTCAAATGTACTGGCACTTATAGGCTAAAATTCATATCAGATGTACTGACATGGAACTACAGTTATCTCCATTCTACATGATAAAAGAATAGGAATAAAACTAAGATATAATTATAACTTAAAAATTTTGGAAATACTTCTGGTTTTCCTTCAAACAGAAAGAAACCTTCAATAAATAACTTCATTGAGATTTTCCTTTTAAAAAGGTATTGATTTTGCCCACAATTTGATATACATTATTTTAAAATTTTGTATTACTGCAATAATAGCAGCAGCCACAATAAAAATGGTAAAATCAGCTGCTGCTGCTGCTGCTACAGAATCCAATGCCTCAGAATATTTTATCTCAGCTGTGTTTCCTCTCTCTCTCTCCCTCTCTTTTTCTCTGCAACTGTTTCTCTCAATTTCTCTCTCTTTCATTAGGATCCCAGACTTATATAAGGAGCGGATCTTCCTGGGACCATCTTGTAGATGTAAGGAATTTACAAGAACATTGTTGAAGAACTTGTTCCATAACTCTTGGATTCACCACCCAAATCAAAGACAGTAAAAGGCATCACAGAGGGTGGAAGAAAATATTGGTTAAAAGAACTATCACTGTTCTATAAATCCCTCACTCCATCCATTTAGAGAAAGGTTAGGGGTCTATCCTTTTAACAAGTCTAGAAAGGAGCCTTAGGAAAATGACTTACAGGTTTTGGAAATACATTGCCCGAACTAACTAGATGCCTAGATAGGATATTGGGATTGGCATGTACTGCCAGACCTTGAAGACTAGAAATGCACAAGTTTTTCTCATAAATCAAATATGTGTCAGAAGAGATGGAAAACCGTAATAGAATTGTGTTGACTGTTGTCTAATACAGCCATCTAGAGTGGCAAGTGGACATCAGCAGAAAGAGGCTAGATGTTACCCAGTTGCTGCAGAGGAGAATAAATAGGTATCTGCCTGGGTCATGAAAATAGAGGTTTAGGAAAGAGCCCCTAGACCCCACACAAGTACACATGAGGTTCAGTTTTATACACCTGTCAGCCCAGAGGGCTTAAAGCCAACTAATTATTCAATACACGTGGGAACTATTCTCTTTTCCCTGTCCATACTTCCCATCCCTATAAAGTCCAAACCACAGCTAAAAGGTGGGGGGAAAGGAGGCAAGGAGAAGCTCAAGTTAAAGGAAAAGAGATAGCAACTACACAATATCCTCTTCACACTGCTGGAGAAAGGAAGGAAAAACAAGTGCAGTCGAGTCAGTTTCACAGTTTTGGGATTATAAATGGGACTGGAACATTTTAATCTCTCTTTGGAGGCTTGTTTCAGGACAAACTGACTACATTGTAACATGGCCTGTTTTCTAAAGGTGGGCAGAAAATTCATGGGCTAGTACTTGCCATTGTATTACTAATAATGTAGCATAAAATTGAAGGTGCCTAACTGATTAAAAAAAAATTTGGCCATCACATTGTAATGCTCAGAGGAATGAACAGTGGCACAGGTATAAGTGAGCTGAGCCCGTGTGAAGAGAAGGGAGGAATCGCTGCATCCTTGCTGTACATTTGCTGCTGTGCACGTGTCTTTCTTGCCTACCTTTGGTTTTCTTCGGTTGTGTTCAAAGTATCTTCTGGAGTCAACAGTGTCCTGTATTTTAAAGTGCCTAAAATGTTGAAATGTAAACAGGGTAAAGCAACTTTCCCTCGGCTTTACAAAAGCTGTAATTGAGAACACTGACCAGAGTGGGCTGGGACTTTAAGGAGTCTGTTTTTCAGAAAATTAAGCAGGAGAGATATATGTGATGTTTCACTCTCAGTTTTGTATTTAAAATCTTCATTTAAAATGCTAAGCTGCAATATCATTCATTTTGAGCCAGGAAAAAGAAAAATTGTATTGCCCTTTTATCTAGGCATTCCTGCAGAAATGTATTTTTTAAATATGTGTTCTAAAAGGTTTTTTATGCTGCATTACTGCTTTGGCATGTCGCTCTCATGAATTTCAGTGTACCAGATTCTCAGCTCCCTGAAATGTGGAGACAACAAACTCTAGAATTACAGCAAGGTATATTCCATGAGCACAACACTGCATCATGAACATTTTTAATGGTATGGATTTTATACCATCTGTTTAGGTTTGCAAATATGAAATGATTACATTTTAAAATAAGCATTTTTTTATCCTTAATTCTATATGTTTACAAATATATTTTAACTAAATTTCAAAACAAAGTTTTAATACCTAAAAAACTTACAGAACTTTTTGAGTTTTTAATCTAGAGGCAAGGGAATATTGTTGCTGATTAAGTTTAAACGGACAGTAAAAGACAAAAATCCACACATTGTGCTTTCTTAGCATGTTAGCTACATGTATATCTTCTTAGTTTACCTACTCCGGTAGTGGAAGTAGATAGTATTCCCACTATGTGAAATAGAAAGTTCCCAGTGTGGTGTCTCACAGAACCTTCCCAAGTCATTTGGTCATCCCTACTTTAATCATTCTGGCCAAGGGATTGTAGTTCTCTGACCAAGCATAGATCATTTCCCTATTCAGGAGAAGAGATTCTGCTGTCATAAGAAAGGAGGAAGAGGTAGAAGACAGAAATAGCAAATGTCCATTAAGGTAAGTATCATCATAACATCCTGAGCATATCAGTGAGAAACTAGAGGCTCAAAAGAACCACAGTTCACAGATGAAAGGAAGAACTTTATTGTATGCAGCTTTATGATCTCTCTTGTCCATGGAATCTGTCTAATGGGGATGTTTGTAATGCCCTATAAAAAGTGCTTCTAATAAAATTACTTATAATTTCCATATATTTCGAAATTAAAATTAAATTTTTCTCTTCAAGGGATCTCTAAAAATTTAGAGGATCACAAATATAATTCAGATTAAATCATGTAAGAATTTATATTTGAATTAATGTTACGTACATGTTGAATTCATTTCAAATTCAAACGTCTGTCCCTAAGTGGGTTTATATTAAAGATCATATATACATTTTTATCTTGATTTATCATCAGTAAAAACTGAGCAAAAATGTATATGTATATATATATTATATGTGTATTTTTGATGTTATACATGTGTATACACATATAACATCATATAATAGGACCATTTACAGTTCACTAAGCAAATCTTCCATTGAAAAAAGATAATTTTCCTGAGAAGGTTCAGGCTTAAATGCTGGCTAGCTAGGAAGTCCTAATTTTGCTTCCTCAATTTTTCCATAGAAAGATATTAAAAATTAAGAAAGAAAATAAAACCAACAAAGCAGTGAAAATTAGGATGAGTGGCCAGGCATCTGTCTGATTTCAAAGGGAGTGTCTGATAATTAAAGCTTACATGTAGCCACTAAGTGGAATCCTTTAGAAAGAAGGAAATAAATTATGTCAATCAAATCTTAATGCATATTCTTACCTCAGAGACATGGAACTATCACTAAGTAAAGTAAACAATTCATTGCTTTAATGAGTAACAACAGTGTTCTGTGCAACTCAAAGCCATTCTCTGTTGACCACCATTACTACAATTGAGACTACAAAACCAATAATTAACAGGGCTCAAAACAGAATTGTACTGGACATAACAAATTACTAGAAAGAAGCCAGTAGCAGAGGGAAATAAAGGCAAGAGTAGCCATGGGAAGAGTGCACACTTTCTAGGCTATAGTTTTCATGATTACTTCAAATTATCCAAAATTAATTCCAATCTACACAGTCACATAGCTGATCAGGAAGTGAAAGCAGGAGATCCGGCACCAGTCCAGCACATCTCACTAAAGTAATGACTAAGTAGCAGAGCCTTTTAGTTTCAGATCAGGCAGGAACATTGTAATGACCACCGGATATTAGTGAGGCAGAGCAAGTAAGATCAATATACTTGATGACTGGCAAATACGACTATTTCCATTAAACAGTAGGAACAAAAACAATAACATGCCAGTTATAATATAAATGAAGGAAAATAGTGCAACTGCGTTGTGAGAATAAAAATATTCTTATTGAGTAACTGGAACTACAGTAAAATAAAAGTAAATTTTAGAAAACACATAGGTGAAATATTTTTCCATTCATAATATAATACTATTTATAAGTATCCACTAAGATATTTTAAAATTTGAATTAAAATATTTTCTGGGAAAAAATCAATTCTCAGATAAAATGTAAACATTTATGAAGAATTTTTTTAATGTCATAGAATTTCTGCCTTCACAAGGCTTTTATCACATAAGAATTTCAAACGTGTGTTTTTAATCTTTCAAATAACAGATAAAGTACAAACTTAACAAATTCATTCATTCTGTGTTACCTACTAGGTGCTGATAGGCTGCTAGGCACTAATAATAAAGTGGTGGTCAAGAAAACCATGATCCCTAACCTCATGGAAATTGCAAATCTAGTATGTGGAGAGATCACAGATTCAGAGCACAGAAAACAAAACAAGGAAGCCAGATGATGGTAACACACACACAAAAAAACAGATAAAACTCACCTATGAACAGAGATGCTAATTTGGGAAATAAAAATTCCAGTAAACAATATCTAGGCTTTTATAATAAAAGACTATACCAAAAGCAAGTTTGGTTTATTCCAATATTAAAGTTGTGGTATAATATTAAAAAATATATTACATTTAGGCCAACCATGTGTTTAGCTAAGAAGTAAAATAGATTTAGGAAAGCTAAATATGCAAAAGCAATGACTAGAATTAGCTAGAATTTGCAGAAAATAAGGTGTCAAAAGTAATAATGTAAGAACTGAGCATTTAAAAATATAGAATAAATAGATCTAACATAGCCTACAATAAAGGTGACATGAATCAGTGGGGAAAATATGAGTAAATAATCAGTTATGAGACTATTAATTATTTATTACCAAAAAGAAAATTAATTACCTCACAGTACAAAATAAAATAAATTTCATATGGATTATAGTTACATGCAAAAAAAGTATAATATTAAAAAGAGGAGAAAATGTAAATGAATATGTATTGAATTTCAGGTTATGAAAGGTCTTTGTAAGAACAAAAGTAGAAGAAGCACTCACAGAGAGAAAGAGTGAATCTCTGAAATTATGTAAATCATATATTACAAATCAATATAAAATTCAAGTAAGTTATAAAATATTTGCAAAACATAAGATTACAAATGTTTTAATCTGCTTAATATATCTGAAGGTCTTTAAAAATCAAGAAAAGAATTTAATAATTGAAAAATGGCACTAATACATGACTAGACATTTCACATACAAAAAAAATAAAATTGGTTAATAAATATTTAAGAATGGCATCATTATTTATCCCATAATACCACACACTTAAACAAGATACATTTTCTTGTTGTAAAATGTGTAAAATGGCAAAAAAAAAAACAAAAAAAAACACAACATGCACACAAAGGAAAACAGAATTGTCAACATTGTGGATTTTGTGAAACAGAAGGATTCATTTACTGCTGGCCAGAAGGAATCAGTATAACCATTCTAGAAAATAATTCAGCAAAAAAAAGAAAACAAATTGGCAATGTATGTAAATTACACTATAAATACTCAGACGATTGACCCTATAATCCTCTTGCAAATAGGTGTACCAAAGTAAACAGTTCTAAATCTTTGGTGTCCTCTCTCTTCAGCTTGTAGAGGGGAACAGAACGATGAACATATATGGGAAGTTTCAATGGCCTTAGTGTAAAACTGGCATTTTATTACCTCTGACCATACTGTGGCCAGAAGGCAGTCATGTAGTCTCACTTACAAAGGAGGCTGGGGAATATAGCCCAGGCGTGTGCCCAGAAAAAGGATCAGACAGATTTTAGTTAAGACAGAGGAAAATCTGCCACACCACGGATCTCAATTATAAGTAGTCAAGTGTAGATAGTGTAAATGCAAATATACTTAACTACACTACAGCATAAATAAAACAAAAAATAATGAGGGAGCAGTACTCCAAAGTAATAATAAATGATGTCATGAGCCTTAGGACAATGAGTTATTTCAACTATTTATATAATGATAATTAAAAATATATTTTATAATAATAATCCATACTGAGAAAAGTTTACCAAGCCAATTTTAATAAACATTTATTTTTTAATAACTTTAAATTCACATAAAAATTGCAAAAATAGTACACAGTTCCTGTGTTTGATCTATTACTTCTCCTAATGTTAACATCTTACATACCATTTACCAAAACTAAAAAGTTAACATTGGTACATCACTATGGATTAAACTCCAGAATTTTCTTTTTCAACAGTTTTTCCACTAATGTCCTCTTCCTTTTTAAGGATCTAATCCAGAATATAACAGTGCAGTTAGTCAAGTTTCTTTAGTTTCATCTGGTCTGTCATAGTTCCTCAGTCTTTCCTTATCATGACCTTGGCAGTATTGAAGAGTACTGGTCAGGTGTTTTGCAGAATGTCCTTCAGTGTGTGATTGCGTGATTGTGTGATGTTCTTATAATTAAACTGGGGTTATGGGTTTTGAGGAAGAATAATAAAAAGGTGAAATGCCCTTATTATCACACTGTATAAGAAAGTACATGATAACTTTATTCTTTGGAAGTGAGCCACTGTCTAGTCATCACCCGTGTGTGTGTGTGTGTGTGTGTGTGTGTGTGTGTGTGTGTGTGTATGCACGTGCGTGTGTGTGTATTAGGGAATGGGGGGCATGGTTTACATTCCATCTCCTGGAGGTGGAAGTTTCTATATAGAATATTTAAATTTTTCTCTATTGACAATTTATCTCTTCTGCTTCATTTGTTAAATCATTAATTTGTGTCAGTCTGAACTGATGTATATTTATTTCATATTATGGATTATACTCCAGTACAATACAAAAATATAATCTATATTATTATTTATTGCTCAAGTTTCTCCAGTTTTGACCATTTAGATGCTTCTATCCTTTTGAGGTTTTTTTCTACCACTTTCTTATTTTCTGGCACTATGTAAGATGCTCTAGATTCATGTTGTATTGCCCAAGTCCTAGAATCAATAATTTTCCCAATGAGCTCTGGCTTATTTTATTAAAAAATGGTATTTAGAAAATAAGATCTGGGTCAAGCCTAGCTTCATCTACAGCTACAACTAATAATGGCTTATTGTTCATTATGGTGAAATAAAATATAACATCAATGACAATTAGTTCAAATGAATGTGTATTATGTGTATATACTTGTATACCAGGGGATTTCAAAAAGTTCATGGAAAAAGGGAATCAAAAGATAAAAATAAAAAATATAAAATTCATTTATTAATATGAGTTCCATAAAGTTAAACTCACTTTTTAAAGTGATAATACCAGCCATTTAGGCCATCCCTAAAGAACTGAGGGTCCTGTGAATTTAACCATGTCATTGCAGTATTCTCTACATTATTAGCTGAAGAAAAATATGTGCCCTCTAAAGAGATTTTTTTTTTTTTTAAGATTAGGAAACAAAAAGAAGTCAAAGGAGCCAAATCAGGACTATAAAGTGAATGGCTAAGGATTTTCCATAGAAATTCTTGCAGAAGGAATGAGCAGGAGCATTGTCATGGTAGAGAAGACTCTCTGGTGAAGCTTTCCCAGTAATTTTTCTGCTAGAGCTTTGGCTAACTTTCTCGAAACACTCTCATATTACACAGATGTTATCAGTCTTTGGCCCTGCAGAAAGTCAACAAGCAAAATGCCTTGAGCATCCCAAAAAACTGTTGCCATGCTCTTCACTCTTGACCAGTTATCCACTTTTGCTTTGACTGGACCACTTCTACCTCTCCATAGTCATCACTTTGTGCTTTACCTTCAAGATCATACTGGTAAAGTCATGTTTCATCTCCTGTTACAATTATTCAAAGAAATGCTTCAGAATCCTACTTGTTGAAAATTTTCACTGAAAGCTCTGCTTTTGTCTGCAGCTGATTAGGGTCCAACAGTTTTGATACCCATAACATGGAAAGTTTTTGCTCAACTTTAATGTTTCAGTCAGACTTGTGTAAGCTAAACGAATTGAAATGTCTATGGTGTTGGCTATTGTTCCTGCTGTTGTCAGTCCTTTTCAGTTAGGGTACAAATAAGGTGAACTTTTTTCCTTGCAAATTGATGTGAATACTCTGCCACTACAGTTTTCAACTTCAACATAATCTTGTTCCTTCTTAAAAGGAGTTCTCCATTTGTAAACTGTGGATTTCTTTGGGGGCACTGTCCCCATTAACCTTTTGTGAAGCATTAATGGTTTCACCATTCTTCCACTCAAGCATCGCCATAAATGTGATGTTTGTTCTTGCTTCAATTTTAGCAGAATGCATGTTGCTTTGAAAGGGTCTCTTTTTAAACTGATGACTTATCTTTTTTAATGCCTCAAACTAGATCTTGTTCAGACATATTAAAACAAGTTAGCATGAATTTATTTGAATGTATTTTTTTAAAGATCCATGCATAGTTTTTTCAAAATACACATTTTTCATGAACTTTTTGAAAACCCCTCATATGTAGAGAATTAATCTTTGATTTGACAATATATTGGCATTTTTGATATAATAAAATTTTTCATTTACTAATCTTTCCCATTCACTGTTTTAATGATAGTAATTTTAAAAATTTTTTAGAGACGAAATCTTGCTGTATTGCTCAGGCTGGCCTTGAACTCCTAGCCTCATGAGATCCTCCCATATTGGCCTCCTAAGTAGCGAGGATGACTACTGCATCTGGCTTAATCATAGTATTTTTAAAATCCCAAAACTTACCATGGTACATGATATGATAGATACAATATATAATGTATATTTTTACCGATATATCAATTGTTTGTGGCCAGATATTGCAGAAATGTTGGAATGGTTCATGAATTTCATTATACAATGAAAAGCTGTGTACCATTGAGCAGACCAAAAATAAAAGATAGTGGCTCACTTCTCTAATCCCAACACTGGGAGGCCGAGACAGGTGATCACTTAAGGTCAGGAGTTCAAGACCAGCCTGGCTAACATGGCGAAACCCGATCTCTACTGAAAATACAAAAAATTAGCCAGGTGTGGTGGCACACACCTGTAATCCCAGTTACTCAGGAGGCTGAGGTAGAAGAATCACTTGAACCTGGGAAGTAAAGGTTGCAGTAAGCTGAGATCACGCCACTGTACTCCAGCCTGGGTGACAGAGCAAGACTCTGTCTCAAAAAAAAAAAATACATATAAATATATATATATATATATATATATATATATATATATATGTATGTATATTTAATAGTAAGACAAAATAAAGCCATGTTAAGTGCAGTTTTCATGGAAGGTGATATAAAGATGAGATCATTTGGAAAACCATAGAGAAATATGAAGGTTCCTAAAGAAGTCATGATGATTAAAATATCCAATGTTTTGTTTTTGGAAATATTCCATATTATTTCCTAAATGCTTTTAGTGAGATCAAGAAGAAAAAATATTAAGCAATGTAACCTTAATTAGCAAGGAAAGAATGGGATCAATACTTCCTGTCTAACTTTTCATTTCTTTCCTACCAAGGTTTCAACTTTTATACTTCAATTTTCATAGGCAAAGTAGCACTAGAACTGTAACTATTCACAACAGATTTTGAAAAATAACATGATTTTGTATCTATCTAGAAACAGAAGGCTTTAGAGTTTCATTTTCATTGTAACATTCTCTTGGAGACTAGGATATCACTTTTATTTTAGTATTGCTTTTATCTTTTTCTATTTGGCATTATTGGTTTGTTTCTACTCCATTTATGCTGGAACTCAGAATTGCATGATAACTGATTATTTAATTTGTTGTTTGTCAAAAACATCACTAGTGATGATGTCAGTATGGCTTGGTTAACTTTGGCTCAACTATATGTTACATCTAAATTTCCTCTCCCCAAAAAGACTTGAAATTTGTACAATAATGGAGGTTACATTTTAGTGAATTATTTCTTAACAAAATTTAACCAATGTATGCCAATGTATATGTGCCCTCTAAAGACCCTTACCAGATTATAAAATAAGCAAGAGGTAAAAATGATTTTGTTTTCAGGAAGAAAGGGGGCATATTATTTTAAATTCATGAAGTTTAAAAACATAAATACAATTAATCTATCCTATCAAATTTTCTCAAATTCTAAAAATGCATGCCACTGTATATTGTCCCAGTATGTTAGTTTATAAAGCTAACTAACCAAATTAGTCTATATTTGTTTCTCTTGTAGCAGAAAATGAAGGCTAGAAAGAATTAGGTAAAATGTGGACACTTAACTATATAATTTAAAGTGTGTGTGTGTGTGTGTGTATGTAAATCTAAACTGTTGTTCATGAAGGCAAGGATTTCTGTCTGTTTTGTTTAAAGCTGTATACCCAATATCTGGCATTAATTAAGTGCACACATTAATAAATAACAAGCAGAAAAAAGTGTCATCAACCCCATTACAAGCCTAAAAAAAAGGTACATATTTTATTGTTGGGATTCAATTTTCTGAATTCTTGTAAGAAAAATACTAGCTCTCAGATTGGAAATGTTTTATTCTGTGGCCAAGTTTAAGGTTCAGAATTAGAATCAATTACATTTCCCTAATATTTAAAAGGAACTATATTTGCCGGGAAGTACACAGGAACTTTCCCACTTTTCTGGAAGATCCACTTGCATTGCAAACACTTTTTAAGATTTTATGCTTTGGTGGCGTTAGTAGGTTTGACAGAGATTCAAGGGTTAAGCAGAGACAACTCCCAGAACCAAAATATTTTTTGCACTCCCTCTCTTTTTTCTCACTAAGTGAAGAACCAGACAGAATAAGGATATGCTAGTAAGATACACAGACTATTCCTTTCCCTTTTCTGAGCAATGGAACTTTCTTTAAGTGAAAAAGAAAGTGATACACTAGCAAGTTGGCCCAGGAAAGAAATGTGAGTTAGATACCAGCACCGGATATAGTCCAGATAGTGTTAAGAAAGAGTGCCAGAATAATAGAGGGAGATACATATGCTAGAAACTGGGAAACCCTATACTACATTATGATGATATACATCATAGTCTTTAAGAATAGTGGTTAGATAGGTCTCTATTATTATTCAGTTTTGTTGAATCAGCATTGATGGCAGTTAATCTTTATTGTAAAAGTCTAGACTTATCAACCAAAGTAAGTAACCCTAAGGAACTTCAGCAGAATATATTTTCCAAAGAGCATCCAACATGCTCTTCTGCAATATGAACTTGTCAATCCTCCACTGAGTTGGAGTTTAACTTCCCTGCCATTGAATCTAGGGTGGCTTTCTTGGCCTGTCTTACTGATAGAATGTTGCAGACAAGATATTTTGGGACTTCCAGAGCTAAGCTGTAAAAAATCTACAGCTTCTGCCTGGGTCTCTTAGAATGCGCCTTTTTGGGAAGCTTCCTCTGGTAACCCAGTTGCTATGTTGTGAGAAGCCAGCATCAACTTCCAGTCATGAAAGTGATCCTTCTTGACTCTGTCAAGTCTTTAGATTATATCAGCTGCAGCTCACATCTTATTGCAACACAGTAGGAAATTCCAACTTCCCAACTGAACCCAGTCAACTCCCAGAATCATGGGAAATTAAAAAAAAATGTTTTAAGCCACAAAACATTTGAGTTGTTAAATATATAGCAGTAGGTAATAGATATGGAAATACAGTGCTTTTAACACATCATGAATATAAAATAGATCAGAAAATGACAAACCTTGAATAAATGAGTACTTTTATGGTTCTAGCTTGTTCAGAAAATAGCTCATCCATAACATTTTAATATCATCTGAAGAGTGACCTGTGTATAAATACATGATGCACTGTGTTTCTCAATATAATGCTGTTTTCTTGTTAATCAAGACTTCTCATTCACTACAAGGAGTTTACTTGCTAGGTTCAATTTGAGGACTCATGCTGTGGTGTCTGTTTTGCTGTGTATTTTATTCTCTTTTGTTGTTAGGTAAGTAGAACAGCAGCAATAGCACCCATTACTAGTAAGCCTTTTATTGTTATGAGTTGTTACTTGACATTCATCAACAGAGTGGTGTTAGATATAAGTGGGGTGTAAATTTCTATCTTCATACATATGAGAGATACATAACATAGCTCAATGATTTATTACTAAGTAACTTACAAACATCAGTTCAAAAGTGACATATAATTTGGCACAGGACCTAACTAGGGAGTTATTTGTTCTTGTTTTCTTATTTCCTAGGCTGATTACAGATGCTCCTTCTCATTTCCCCTAAAACTACATATACCCCTTCTATTAAGGATAAAACAGTAAGTGCTGAAGATCATCTGAAAAGCTGTTTTTGCATAAATGTCAAAGTATCCCTATTCAAATAGTGGTCAATGGTTGGAATAAAAGAAAAAATTTAAAGGTTGTGTGTGTGTGTATGTGTGTGTGTGTGTATATCTATATGTGTATTTAATGCCTATTATCTGATTATCTCAAAATTCAAATGAAAACCTCATTTTGTCCAAGAGAAAATATAAAAAAGCAGTACCTGGACACTACTTTCATGTTCTATCTGGAAGCTTTATCATGGTAACCTGCTCAACTTCATAAGCTTATGCAAACCTAAATATGGGTTTTAAATTTTTGAAACATTAACTAGAGAACTATTATATGTTTTGATTTGAGGGCTGATAGGAAGATAATATTTTGACATGATTCCAGTGTTTTTTTTTTTTTTCTCACCTCTGGGCACCTCTAGGGCCTTCCCATATGCTGTTTCTCTGATAAAAACAATTGTACCCTGTTATCTTTTTCCTAACACACAAAATGCACCCCATGCCCTCCACTCAACACATATAATTTCCAGATTAAACATTTCTCCTTCAGAAGCCGTCTGTTAGTCATTCCAAGAAGCTTCGAATACCCCTTGAAGTTCTTCTCTCTTGCCCTTCCTAAGTACTACTAAAGTGCCTTGTGCTTTTCACATCAGAGTCTTCATCACATTATTATAATTTCTTTTTCTATTTTTTTTTTTTTTTTTGAGACAGAGTCTCGCTCTCTCTCTCAGTTTGGAGTGCAGTGGCGCAATCTCGGCTCACTGCAAGCTCCACCTCCCGGGTTCACGCCATTCTCCTGCCTCAGCTTCCCGAGTAGCTGGGACTACAGGCACCCACCATCATGCCTGGCTAATTTTTTGTATTTTTTAGTAGAGACGGGGTTTCACCGTGTAAGCCAGGATGGTCTCGATCTCCTGACCTTGTGATCTGCCTGCCTCGGCCTCCCAAAGTGCTGGGATTACAGGCGTGAGCCACTGCACCCAGCCACATTATTATAATTTCTTATTCACATACTATTTCACCCACTAGACTTCAAGCTTCTTAAAGGTAGGTTCCGAAATAACATTATCAATGCTTAGGATAATAACTGGCATGTAACAAAGTCTTAATAAATATTTTTGAAAGAGTTATAAAAGTTGCAGGAAAATTCCCTTCTTTGTGATATTTTGGTTGGTTTTTCAAAGAAATTATTTTTGAGCACTAATCTATAATTATGTAGTGCTTTAAAAACTTAATGAGTGAGAAAACACAAGGCCTCAATATTTTGATTTCACATTATATTTCCACAAAGATTCTCCCTATTTAGTTGGCTCAGTTTGAGACTTGAAGAATGTTTTTTTCAAATCAAGGGTGGCTGGTCTAATTTCAGATAAAGGGGACTTTAAACAAACAAAGATCACAAGAGAAAGAAGGGCAACACATATCGGTAAAGAGTTCAATTCAATAAGAGGACCTAAGTATCCTAAATGTATATGCACCCAACATAGGAGTACCCAGATTCATAAAGCAAGGTCTTAGGCACTTATGAAGAGACTTAGATTTTCAAACAGTAACAGTGGGAGACTTCAACACCCTCCTGACAATATTAGACAGATCATCAAGGCAGAAAATTACCAAGGATATTCAGGACTTGAACTCAACGATAGACATAATTGACATACAGAACTCTTCACCCAACAATAACAGAATATACATTCTCTCATCACCACATGGCACATAATCAAAAATTGACCACACAATTGGACATAAAACAATCCTCAACAAATTTAAAAAAAACCTAAAATCATACTGAGCATACTCATAGACCACAGTGTAATAAAAATGGAAATCAATAGTAAGAAAATTGCTCAAAACTATATAATTACATGGACTTTACACAACCTGCTCCTGAATGACCGAGGGTGGGGAGAGTAATAAAATCAAGACAGAAATCCAGAAACTCTTTGAAATTAATGAGAACAAAGATACAACATACCAGAATCTCTGGGACACGCTAAGGCAATGTTAAGAGCACAATTTATTATAGTACTGAATTCCCACATCAAAAAGATACAAAGATCTAAAATTAACAATCTAACATCACAACTAGAGGAACTAGAGACACAAGAGCAAATAAACCCCAAAACTAGCAGAGGACAAGAAATAACTAAAATCAGAACTGAACTGAAAGAAATTGAGATGTAATAAAACATAAAAAGATTAATGAATCCAGAGTTGGTAGTTTGAAAACATTACTAAGATTGACAGACCACTAGCTAGACTAATAAAGAGAAGATTCAAATAAATGCAATCAGAAATGACAAAGGAGATGTTATCACTGACCCCACAGACATACAAGAACGCTGAGACATTACTATTAATACTTCTACGTACACAAATTAGAAAACTAGAGAAAATTGATAAATTCCTGGACACATACAACCTACCAAGACTAAACAAAAAAGAAACTGAATCCTTGAACAGACCAACAGTGAGTTCCAAATTTAAATCAGTAATAAAAAGCCTACCAGTGAAAAGAAGCTCAGGGCCAAACAGATTCACAGCCAAATTCTACTAATGTATAAAGAAGAGCTGGTATCATTCCTGCTAAAACAATGCCAAAAATTTAAGAAGGAGGGACTCCTCTCTAACTCATTCTATGAGGACAGCATTATCCTTATACCCAGGCCTGGTAGCCACACAACAAAAAACGAAAGCTTCAGGCCAATATCTTTGATGAACATACATGCAAAAACCTTCAACAAAATACTAGCAAACTAAACCCACCAGTGCATCAAAAAACTAATCCACCATATCAAGTAGGCTTTATCCTTGGGATGCAAATTTGGTTCAGCACATGCAAATCAAGAAATGTAATTCATTACATAAATAGAACTTTAAAAGACCACATGATTATTTATCTCAATAGAGGCAGAAAACAGTTACAATAGAATTCAATATCGCTTCATATCGAACATCTCAACAAATTAGGCACTGAAGGAACATATTTCAAAATAATAAGAGCCACCTATGACAAACTCACAGCCAACATCATACTAAGTGGGCAAAAGCTAGAAGCATTCCCCTTGAATACTGGAACAAGACAAGGATGTTATTTCTCACCATTCCTATTCAACATAGTACTCTAAGTCCTAGCAAGAGCAATCAGGCAAGAGAAAGAAATAAAAGGCATCCAAATAGGAAGAGAGGAAGTCAAACCACCCTTGTTTACCAATGATATGACTCTATACCTAGAAAACCCCATAGTCTCTGCCCAAAAGTTTCTTGATTAGATAAACAAATTCAGCAGTTTCAGGATACAAAATCAGTGTAAAAAAACAGCATTCCTATACACAACATATAAGCTGACAGCCAAATCAAGAATGTAATCCCATTCACAATAGTCACAAAAGAATAAAATATCTAGGAATACAGCTAACAAGGGAGTTGAAAGATCAGTACAACAAGAATTACAAAACACTGCACAAAGAAATCAGAAATGGCACAAATAAATGGAAAAACATTCCATGCTCAGATAGGAAGCATCAATAATGTTCAAATGGCCATACCACCCAAAGGAATTTACAGACTCAATGCTATTCCTACCAAACTACCAATGACATTGTTTACAGAATTTTTTAAAAAAAACTATCTTAAAATTTGTATGGGACCATAAAAGAGCCCCAAAAGCCAAAGTAATCCTAAGCCAAAAGAATAAACCTGGTGGCATCACATTACCTGACTTCAAACTACAATACAAGCCTATAGTAATCAAAACAGCACAATACTGGTACAAAACCAGACACATAGACAAATGGAACAGATTAGAGAGCTCAGAAATAATGCCACACACCTACAACCATCTAATCTTCAACAAAGTTGACAAAAACAAGCAATAGAGAAAGGACTCCGTATTCAACAAATGGTGCTGGAATAACTGGCTAGCCCTATGCAGGTTAAAACTGGACCCTTTCATACAGCATATACAAAACTCAACTCAAGATAGATTAAAGACTTAAAAGTAAAGCCTAAAACTATAAAAACTCTGGAAAATAACCTAGGAAATATGCTTTGGACATAGGACCTGGCAAAGATTTCATGATGAAGACACCAAAAACAATTGTGACAAAAATAAAAACAGATAAATGGGACCTAATTAAACTAAAGAGCTTCTGCACAGCAAAATAATCTATGGACAACATGAAAAAAACAACCTACAGAATGGAAGAATATATCTGCAAACTATGCATCTGACAAAGTTCTAATATTCAGACTCTATAAGAACCATAAATTTACAACAGAAAAAAAATTAAAAAGTGGGCAAAGGTCATGAACATACACTTTTCAAAGGAAGACATACATGTGGCCAACAAGCATATGAAAAAAATGCTTAATATCACTAATCATTAAAGAAATGCAAATCATAAACACATCTCACACCAGTCAGAGTGGCTATTATTAAAAAGTCAAAAAATAACCAGCGCTGGAGAGGTAGTGGAGAAAAAATTTTTAAAAAATTTCACTTTATTTTAAGTTGCAGGATACATGTGCATGATGTGCAGGTTTGTTACATAGGTAAAAATGTGCCATAGTGGTTTGCTGTGCTTATCAACCTATCGCCTAGGTATTAAGCCCAGCATGCATAGGTTATTTTCCTGATGCTCTTCCTCCCCCGACACCCCCACTGACAGTCCCCAGTGTGTGTTTTTCCCCTCCCTGTATCCATTTTTCCTCATTGTTTGGCTCCCCCTTATAAGTAAGAACTTGAAGTGTTTGGTTTTCTGTTTCTGCATTAGTTTGCTGAGGATAATGGCTTCCGGCTCCATCCATGTCCTTGCAAAGGACATAATCTCATTCCTTTTTATGGCTGCATAGTATTCCATGGTATATATGTACCACATTTTCTTTATCCAGTCTATCATTGATGGGCATTTGGGTTGATTCCATGTCTTTGATACTGTGAATAGTGGTGCAGTGAACGTATATGTAGAAGAATCTTTGTAATAGAATGATTTATATTCCTTTGGGTGTATACCCAGTAATAGGATTGCTTGGCCAAATGGTATTTCTGGTTCTAGGTCTT
Source organism: Homo sapiens (assembly GCF_000001405.40). Taxonomy (NCBI): domain Eukaryota; kingdom Metazoa; phylum Chordata; class Mammalia; order Primates; family Hominidae; genus Homo; species Homo sapiens. Next base: position 97,624,200 of record NC_000004.12, read on the forward strand.
TGAAGGAGTCACCACACTGTCTTCTACAATGGTTGAACTAATTTACATTCACACCCACAATGTGAAAGCATTCCTATTTCGCCATAGCCTTGGCAGTATCTGTTGTTTCCTGACTTTTTAATAATTGCCATTCTGATCTCATTGTGGTTTTTATTTGCATTTCTCTAATGATCACTGATGTTGAGATTTTTTTCATATGTGTGTTGGCCGCATAAATGTCTTCTTTTGAGAAGTATCTGTTCATGTCTTTTGCCCACTATTTAATGGGGTTGTTCGTTTTGTTCTTGTAAATTTGTTTAAGTTCCTCGTAAATTCTGGATATTAGACCTCTGTCAGGTGGATAGGTTGCAAAAAATTTCTCCCATTCTGTAGGTTGTCTGTTCACTTCATAGTTTCTTTTGCTGTGCAAAATCTCTTTAGTTTAATTATATCCCATTTGTCAATTTTTGTTTTTGTTGCAATTGCTTTTGACATATTCATCCTGAAATCTTTGCACGTGCCAATGTCCTGAATGGTATTGCTGAAATTGTCTTCTAGGGCTTTTATAGTTTTGGATGTTCCATTTAAGTCTTTAATCCATCTTGAGTTAATTTTTGTATAAAGTGTAAGGAAAAGGTCCAGTTTCAATTTTCTGTATATGGCTAGCCAGTTCTCCCAGCACCGTTTATTAAATAGGGAATCCTTCCCCCATTGTTTGTTTTTGTCAGATTTGTCAAAGATCAGATAATTAAGGTTGAATGAGGTCATGATCCTAATCCAACAGGACTGGTGCCTTTATAAGAAAAGGAAAGAAAAGGCCATGTTTGAATGTAGGTGGCCATATGGAAAGCAGAAATAGAGCCTTCACCAGAATCTGAACTGGAAAGAACGTGGATCTTGGACTTCTAGCCTTCAGTACTGTGAGAAAACAAATTTCTATTGTTTAAACCATGTAGTCTGAGATATTTTGTAATGGTAGCCCAAACAGACTAATGTAATAGACATCTTAGAAAATTCAGCTTTATGTTTTTCAATACGGAAAAACATTTATAATGCTGGCAGATATACTTGAATGAATTTGGCTGCAATAAACAGGGCTTTATAATAATTAAAGTAAATGCATTTTGGAGGTATATAGATGCAAACTGGCCTCTTCCAATCTCTCTCTGTTGCCCAGGCTGGAGTGCAGTGGCACAATCTCGGCCCATGCAACCTCTGCTTCCTGGGTTCAAGCAATTCTTCTGCCTCAGCCTCCCGAGTAGCTGGGACTACAGGTGTGCACCACCACACCCAGCTAATTTTTGTATTTTCTTTTTAGTAGAGACAGGGTTTCACCATATTGGTCAGGCTGGTCTTGAACTCCTGACCTCGGGATCCGCCTGCCTCAGCCTCTTGAAGTGTTGAGATTACAGGTGTGAGCCACCATGCTTGGCCGCCTCTTCCTTTCTTATTGGGCACAAGGCTGTGACTGTATTTCTCAGTCTATCTGATAAATAAATATGGTCCATGTGTCTATGCTCTCTCCAGTGAAATATGAATGACACAAATGGGTGCAAGGAAGAATCTCTAACTAAGGATTTCTTCTCTTCTTTCCTATAGCTGGAGTGGAGATGACTAGAGTGATAACCACTGTGATTCCATGAACCAAGCCTCCCACCAGCCTGAAACATTAGCTTTTAAGCCATTTGTGGACATCCATTAGATACTGTTATCCAAATTCTGGTCCACAGATATTACTGATCCCAGGTCAAATGATGATTTTATAATACTTGGAAAGTGACTTATCACCTACAGTTGAGCTTCTTAAAGTTGGATGGCAAATTATCCATAACTGCTGTGAAAAGTTAACATTTACTTACACGGTCTGAAGTTATCATATGGGCAAAGTAGTCATCTTCAAGTACACAATTTACATGAAATCCCATAAATGTTATTCACTCTATAACATATTTACATGTGTCTTAATATAAAATAATATTTTTATTTATTGTCAAGAAAAATATCATAAACTCTCTTTTTCCAGAAATCCTTGAGTACATTGACCCAGATATACCATAATGACCCTGGCCATATGTAGCTGTAATATTGATTTACTTGCAGTCCCCAGTATACACAATGCTCTTTCAGACTTTACACTTTCTTTCCTTTCCTGAAATATATTCTTCTTCTCTATTGGTAAACACCTACTTATTCTTCAAGGCTCAAATTATTATCTCCTTTATGGAGTCTTCCTTAACTAACTCCTGTTTCCACCTAAACATAATTAGCGTCTTCAACCTCTTGGTACACTTCACCCCTTTGTACACACATCTGCTATATCATAAGTTGGTAATTAGTCTTCTTTTTAAGTACACTTCTCCCCAGGGCAAAGTCTGTCTCACTCATTTCGGAATTTGAAATATTCCAAAATATTCTAGTATTTATGGGGAGTCTCAATATTTTCAAATATATGTAGATATTTTAACCAAATATATTGGATTTTTCCTCCTCCTTCTCTTCCTCCTTTTCTTCTTTTGCTTATCCTCCTCTTCCATTTTCATTTTTAGATAATTTTAATGTCTTTCCATATACTTTTACTTATAATTCTTGTGTTAGATTTATTTCTATGTACCGCATATTTTTTGCTATTTACATAGTAGCTTTTAAGTAATTTTACATTGCCTAATCACTACTGGGATATAGAAATGCAATTGCTTTTTATATAAAGATCTTATGACTACAGGTTGGCAAAATTTCTTACACATTTTATTGTCTATAGGTTCCTTTTTTCTATGTTGTCGACATCATCTTCAAATAATACCAGTTGTTGACTTATTCTTTCATTTTATTAATTTTCTATGTTCTATCACTAATGTTTCTCACATGCTCTACCAAATCCAACATCTACCAATATTGTTTTTCAAATACTAAAATGCATCTGATAACCTTGTTAGTCACAGTTTTTGTTCTTTAAAATGCCACCTGTCCTTCTCTTCCAATCTTTATTAAGTTATAAAGAAAGTTTTAAAAAACAGATATCTGGTAAATTGAAGAGTCCGTATTTGGAGAATTTAAGAACATTTAAAGGCATTCCCTACTCAGTCAAAACAGATAAAAGATCACTGATCTTCTAAGACTTAATATTTGCATCACCTTGAGATTCATTGCCTAGTGCTGCTCAATATGGAATTCTAAAAATATAAAAAATATTTATTTTAGTAAAGCATTGGGTGTTACAAAACTGTTTTTAAAAAATGAAATTGCAAAGTAATTTTTCCATGCTAACACATTAAGTTAAACTAGGATACTTAACATACTTAAGCTATATTTGAAAGAAAAGTACTGATGTGAGGAGAGTTTTGCATTTCTGAAGCTCTCATGTAAGATAGTACAAAATGTAGAGTATCTTGAATAGTTTTCCTATACATACATATTGAGAGACAGTCTGTGATTAGCCAAACATTTCCAAAAGTGGGTTTCCTTTCTCTTTTCATTTTCTATAGTAAAATGTTTAAAGGATATAATTATCTACAGATACATAGAGAATTTTGGCATTAATCTGAGTTCCACAGAGAAACAAAACCAATAGTAAATGATTCGTTATAAGGAATTAGCTCACATAACACTGGTAGCTAAGAAGTACCATGATCTGCTGTCTGCAACATGGAAACCCAGGAAACTGGTTGATGTAATTCTGAGAAACGGGGCTGATGGATAAGTTTTAGTTGGGAGTATGAGAAGACTGATGTCTGAGCTCAAGCATTCAGGCAGACAGTGAATTCCCTATTCCTCTGTCTTTTTGTCCTATTCAGACATTCAAAGGATTGAATGAGACCCGCCCACATTGGGGAGGGCAAACTGCTTTACTCAGACCACAGGTTCGAATGCTAATCTCAGCCAGAAACACTATTATAGACACATCAGAAATAATGTTTAATCTGGGCACCTCATGTCCCAGTCAAGTTGACACATAAAATTAGCCATTATAATTTTGCATTCTATTCAGTGTGTAGTATAGTCAGGCAAACAGTATTCTTGGAGAACTGTGTGTAAGGAGGTATTGCTCCTGATATTAGCAGGATTATCAGTAAGAATCCTGTGAGACTGAGTAAGACATCGTAACATCTCCTTTTAAAGGTGGATAATAAATTGATTGCATGAGTCTATTTTTCACCAACCATGTTACCTTGCTCAAAAAATAAAGCTGTGCCAGAGTGAATAATTTGAACTACATAGTTCTGATTGACAAGCCTAGATTTTTGCAAACATTCTCAATAAATATTACCAAAACTAAACTGAAAGTTTGAAAGTCTGAAGAAATGGAAACTAAATACACTCCTATAATTTGTGATTTGTATTTTAAAATCATAATACTCTAATATTTATTAAATGTTTATTTTATCACTGTGCTTAGCAATTAATGTGTTACTATATTTCATCAATTGCAAGAAGCTTATGTTTATATTTTAATGCTTCTAAATATGTATTTACCTTACAATTACAGATAGCAGAATTCAGTTATTACAGCCTGTGTACACACAAACATCGCTATTTTTAATGGCATGACTGCAAAAATAAAACCCCTCAGTCAACCAACAGTCTAAGTACCAGAGTTAAACTGGTAGCATATTTTTGTTCTTACTGATAGATAAAATAATATTGATTTTTACAATATTGTCACTCATGGTCAATTTGACTCTAGATTAACTTCGTGCTGGTAAGTGGAATCTATACACAACCTGAGGGGTAGCAATCCCAATTGCTCATCATTTTTTAAAGGAAATGTCTTATTTAAGCTTTCCAAAGCAAAGACTTTGAGTATATTTTGTCTCCAGCTTGATATTTAAATCTTTAAATATCACTACTATCTGACTTTGATTTCCCATATTCATTTGTATATGCATAAACTTTAATTCAGTAGGTTAACTACCTTAAATAAGTTTTGTGTAGCATAGGTTGCAAAGATATAAAAAAAATTGGAGACAGAATTTTCCAATAATAATAATAAGAGTAATAGTAATAGACCTTGAAAAGCCATCAATATCATATGTTGTTGAAAGAGCCAAATAATTATTTTAACATGCAAATTTTATATAAGAAAGCAAACTACTTTATGAAGGTAGTATTAGTAAAAACTGCTGAGAAAAAAAGCATTTACAATCAATGACTTTTATTAATAATGCAGAAAAAAGTATCACTTTTGCTACTTAAGATAAAAAACTGGATTAAACAGACACATATGTGCGTGCACGCACTATAGGACTTCTGATAGACAAGTGTGGATTCCTTTAGAAACAAAACAAGATGAAGATAACAGGAAGGAATGGCTTTGTTCCAACATTTACTCAGTTGTGAATCTTGAACATGCACTTTAAGAATGACAGGGCTCATATTACGTAACAAAAAAAATTATAAGAATGATTTGAGCCAATACAGTGAATTCATGAACACATTAACTTTCACAAAGTAGGTATTCAATAATTATTGGTTGAATGAATGTCTGAAACAGTAAAAGTTACAACACTAACCTTGAAAAGAAGGAAAATACTTGACAACAATCTAATTTCATGTGTAAAATCTGGGAGTAGCAGTAGCATCTTGAAATATGTTAGGGTAATAGAAGGAATGAAAGTAGGATTAGAAATTAGGATTGCAAAATTGACAAGGTGGGAATAATCACTAACATGGCCAAGATAATGGAAATTTTGTAAGTGAAATAGAATTTGCAAAGGCACAGAAACCTTGGAAAGCTCCATGTGAAACTGATATGCCCATTATTCCATAGACAATATCAAACTGTTAATCAGACAAGAAACCAATCTTTCCTGACATTGAGTTGTTATTAAATAAATTAACAATTATCCATGTATTAAGCACCAGCTGTTAGGTTTATAATCCATATAAATATGTGAGCAGCTTTCAGACAAAACTAATTAAGTTTATCAGTGCAAAATAATAATGGGACTCATTGCCTAATTTTAAAAACACAAAATGATGATGCAGTAGGATATGCAAATTTTGCTGTGGAACTACAAAATAATGCTTAGATTTACCAAAAAGATGAAAGTCCAAGGGCTCTATTTGCTTTGTTTTATTAATTTCCTAGAGTTATTATTAATTTTGAAACAAAACAATTGTGGTTATTTTTAATATACTTTTTGTTTTAAAAGTATACTTGAAGCAATTTTAGCTACTGTCTTCCAACTTCCATTATATTAAAAAGCACTATTACATACAATGTAGCAAAGATGAAATCAGATCAATTTTTTTAAACAAAATAAATTACTATAAAGTATTCTGAAAACTGACTCCACTTCTTAGCTTAATGTTATATTCTTCTGATATTTATTGTTAATCATAGAAAATAATTTTAGCATCTGTTATTTATGTATACATTTAAAACACATTGCATCTCACACATCTTATCAGAAGATTAATCTGAAATTCAGATTTTGAAAAACACATTCTTCCTTTAGCAAAAATAAATATTAGCTTTCTACATAAAACAAATGGATTGAAAGCAGAAATATCAAAACAATTAAATTAAGTGTATTGTAAAAATATTATAGATAAGACAGAGTGCTCTATTAAAGGAGGTAGTCAATCTCAAGGTGGCTTCTCATGTTTGTTTTTTTAATCTAAAAAATCATTTAAAATACAACAAAGAATAATATTATGTAATAACTGATTCAGAAATGCAATTTCTCCAGTTAATAGACTACATGATTCATATGAAAAATAAAACATGAAAACATTTATAAAATGGACTATATAAAGCAATGAATGCAGAAAGTGATAAAATGTTTGTGGTTCTGTGATCAGATAAGAAGCAAAGACTTTTTGAACTATAGTCTTAAAGTATTTTAAAAACTACTCTGAAAATGATAACAAGACACACACACACATTTATGTACATATTGTTTCTGAAACCAGACACTGCTTTCCTTTTTAAAGAATTGATTTTCTATTACATTGGGAAAAAGATTCTATCAAGGATAAGCAATTACAAATAGAGAAGAAAAGTATTACAGAACCACTATCTTAATGTTATTATTTCCTTGACAAAGAAGGCAAGACATTATTCAATATTAAATTCAGAAGAAAGAAATTAGTTTAGAAATATTCAAGTGTCATAACTTGTTTAAATTTCCATCAACACAGTGCAAAAATATTCCTCAGACACTTAGAATCATTTACCAAATGACTTGGACAATGCTTACAAGACTTCGTAACAATTCTGAAGTTAAAATTAGCTTTTTCAACATTAAAAAATATTGGGTTCATGCAAACAAAAAGCTTGAGAATTAAGAATATATTCTGTAATTTTTATAGCTCTCAACTGATACAAATTTTCAAGATCTCTGTAGTTTTAGATAATCATCAGGTTAGTTGAAAGTAAAACAGAACTCTGTGAATTTGTATTTGATGAGTGATTTGAAATTCTAAAAGCACTTGCCCTTAATGGAAAATATTGAAGACACCTAAAGCAAAATTTTGTACAAAGTTATTACACACTAAATGCTCTCACAGCCACCATATTAAAGGAACAAAGCCTGAGAATGTCACCTGGTCTAGCAAGAATGTTTTTGTTAGATTGTGCTAGGTTGTTGAGTTGTCAGAATAAGATAAATGGAGCTGAGCAGTACCATTAACCTGTGACATTTTTGACAATGCAAGGGTATGTGCTGTGCAAAAAGTAGACTACTTTTTTCTTTTCTATCTCTCAATTTATAATAGAAATAAGAAAAGATAGATTAAATGTTTTAATGAAAGACAAAAACAGTTAGAAAAAGCTTATCTTGAATAATAGATGCTTGTCCATCACATGCAAAAACACATTCCCAAATCAGAATACATTAATAAAGTATATCACATAGATTTAGTCTATATTCAAAAGAGATAAACATTAAAATACTCCTTAATCTAGGCATTTAGGAAGAATAAAATCTCTCTTTCCTTATTGATACCTTCAAAAAAGGTTAAAGTTAAAAGTAAGTTATCCTTTTTATGGCAATAAACTCCATTTCATCCTTAAAATCACTATCAAACTTAAAATATACAAGTAATAATAGATTTTTTTGTTTTTAGGTTTACTAAAATTTCACACAAATTTTAACAAGCTTATTGGTTTTTTTTTTTTTTATTTCTGAGCTTCCCACTGGCATGGGAAAAGTAAAATAGATCACAGCTATGTTTTACAAGGAAAAACTATCAAGCTGCAATAAAGACTAAATGTCTGTTAATGTTCATAATAATAAAAAATCTAATAAAATCATCAATTAGTATCACTATTTACTCATAATGTGAGAAGAAATTCTAATACCTAATAATGACTTTATGCCTTACATGTTTCAATAAAATACCTTTTTTTATAATCCTGAGTTCTTGCTCTGAAATGTAATGTACATATACACCAAATGCAGTTTTCAAAAAGAATGTAACACATTTATTGACTCACAGATATCAATATGCTTTATACATTCATAATTAATATGAGCCAACAAAAAATACTGTACCAGCCACCATGCTAAAGAATGACAATATGAGACTGCAGTGAGATACAGAATGTATTTTCAATGTGACCAAGACCAGGAAGGGAAGTGGAAATAGAACTAATTTCTCCATCAATAATATGGTGCTAAAATGTTGAAGTGATCAGAATAAGGTAAGTAAGCTTATATCCTATAATTAGAAGCTTATTAACATGACCTCAGACATTATCAATTATTCATTCAACAACAATTCAATTGGATGCTTATTATATGCCATGCACTGTTCTAATTATATTTAGAAGGGGGATGGAAAGATGGTAGATAGATGGCAGGTAGGTAGGTAGGTAGGTAGATCAATAGATAGACAGAGATAGATATTTCTCCCAAATATATAAGAAAATATTATCAACCATGTTACAATATGCATGCATGTGTATATGTACATGTGTATATATGTATACACACATCAGTTGTTTTAGTTTCTCTGCCATTTACATTCTTATAATAATATAATAATTGAATTGATCTAAAACTTATAGAAGGACTTGCCATTGGATGACAGTCTTTGATGCTTCTAAGTGTCAAATACAAAACTTTAACGTTTTATTAATTTTTCAGTTTTTATTGACTTAATTAAATATACAAATTAAAAAGTTGGAATATTGTTTGCTACAAACAAGCTGCCAAGAGAAAATTATATGTCCCTATATTAATGTGGCAATTCCAGGGAAAAATGAAAACATACTCAATAAAGTAATGAAATTTAATTCAAATTTCATTTGTTTATAAATGAAACATAAAAAGATATTTAAAATAAAACTGATTCACCTGAGGGAGGCGCCAAGATGGCCGAAAAGGAACAGCTCCAGTCTACAGCTCCCAGCCTGAGCGACGCAGAAGACGGGTGATTTCTGCATTTCCATCTGAGGTACCGGGTTCATCTCACTAGGGAGTGCCAGACAGTGGGCGCAGGTCAGTGGGTGCGCGCACCGTGCGCGAGCCGAAGCAGGGCGAGGCATTGCCTCACTCGGGAAGCGCAAGGGGTCAGGGAGTTCCTTTCCTAATCAAAGAAAGGGGTGACGGACAGCACCTGGAAAATCGGGTCACTCCCACCCGAATACTGCGCTTTTCCGACGGGCTTAAAAAACGGCGCACCACGAGATTATACCCCGCACCTGGCTCTGAGGGTCCTACCCCACGGAGTCTCGCTGATTGCTAGCACAGCAGTCTGAGATCAAACTGCAAGGCAGCAGCCAGGCTGGGGGAGGGGCGCCCACCATTGCCCAGGCTTGCTTAGGTAAACAAAGCAGCCAGGAAGCTCGAACTGGGTGGAGCCCACCACAGCTCAAGGAGGCCTGCGTGCCTCTCTAGGCTCCACCTCTGGGGGCAGGGCACAGACAAACAAAAAGACCGCAGTAACCTCTGCAGACTTAAATGTCCCTGTCTGACAGCTTTGAAGAGAGCAGGGGTTCTCCCAGTACACAGCTGGAGATCTGAGAACGGGCAGACTGCCTCCTCAAGTGGGTCCCTGACCCCTGACCCCCGAGCACCCTAACTGGGAGGCACCCTCCAGCAGGGGCACACTGACACCTCACACTTCAGGGTACTCCAACAGACCTGCAGCTGAGGGTCCTGTCTGTTAGAAGGAAAACTAACAAACAGAAAGGACATCCACACCAAAAACCCATCTGTACATCACCATCATCAAAGACCAAAAGTAGATAAAACCACAAAGATGGGGAAAAAACAGAACAGAAAAACTGGAAACTAAAAATCAGAGCTCCTCTCCTCCTCCAAAGGAAGGCAGCTCCTCACCTGCAACAGAACAAAGCTGGACAGAGAATGACTTTGACGAGCTGAGAGAAGAAGGCTTCAGACGATCAAATTACTCTGAGCTACGGGAGGACATTCAAACCAAAGGCAAAGAAGTTGAAAACTTTGAAAAAAATTTAGAAGAATGTATAACTAGAATAACCAATACAGAGAAGTGCTTAAAGGAGCTGATGGAGCTGAAAACCAAGGCTCGAGAACTAGGTGAAGAATGCAGAAGCCTCAGGAGCCGATGCAATCAACTGGAAGAAAGGGTATCAGCAATGGAAGATGAAATGAATGAAATGAAGTGAGAAGGAAAGTTTAGAGAAAAAAGAATAAAAAGAAATGAGCAAAGCCTCCAAGAAATATGGGACTATGTGAAAAGACCAAATCTACGTCTGATTGGTGTACCTGAAAGTGATGGGGAGAATGGAACCAAGTTGGAAAACACTCTGCAGGATATTATCCAGGAGAATTTCCCCAATCTACCAAGGCAGGCCAATGTTCAGATTCAGGAAATACAGAGAACGCCACAAAGATACTCCTCCAGAAGAGCAACTCCAAGACACATAATTGTCAGATTCACCAAAGTTGAAATGAAGGAAAAAATGTTAAGGGCAGCCAGAGAGAAAGGTCGGGTTACCCTCAAAGGGAAGCCCATCAGACTAACAGCGGATCTCTCAGCAGAAACCCTACAAGCCAGAAGAGAGTGGGGACCAATATTCAACATTCTTAAAGAAAAGAATTTTCAACCCAGAATTTCATATCCAGCCAAACTAAGCTTCATAAGTGAAGGAGAAATAAAATACTTTACAGAGAAGCAAAGGCTGAGAGATTTTGTCACCACTAGGCCTGCCCTAAAAGAGCTCCTGAAGGAAGCGCTAAACATGGAAAGGAACAACTGGTACTAGCTGCTGCAAAATCATGCCAAAATGTAAAGACCATTGAGACTAGGAAGAAACTGCATCAACTAACGAGCAAAATAACCAGCTAACATCATAATGACAGGATCAAATTCACACATAACCCTATTAACTTTAAATGTAAATGGACTAAATGCTCCAATTAAAAGACACAGACTGGCAAATTGGATAAAGAGTCAAGACCCATCAGTGTGCTGTATTCAGGAAACCCGTCTCACGTGCAGAGACACATATAGGCTCAAAATAAAGGGATGGAGGAAGATCTACGAAGCAAATGGAAAACAAAAAAAGGCAGGGGTTGCAATCATAGTCTCTGATAAAACAGACTTTAAACCAACAAAGATCGAAAGAGACAAAGAAGGCCATTACATAATGGTAAAGGGATCAATTCAACAAGAAGAGCTAACTATCCTAAATATATATGCACCCAATACAGGAGCACCCAGATTCATACGGCAAGTCCTGAGTGACCGACAAAGAGACTTAGACTCCCACACATTAACAATGGGAGACTTTAACACCCCACTGTCAACATTAGACAGATCAACGAGACAGAAAGTCAACAAGGACACCCAGGAATTGAACTCAGCTCTGCACCAAGTGGACCTAATAGACATCTACAGAACTCTCCACCCCAAATCAACAGAATATACATTTTTTTCAGCACCACATCACACCTATTCCAAAATTGACCACATACTTGGAAGTAAAGCTCTCCTCAGCAAATGTAAAAGAACAGACATTATAACAAACTATCTCTCAGACCACAGTGCAATCAAACTAGAACTCAGGATTAAGAATCTCACTCAAAACCGCTCAACTACATGGAAACTGAACAACCTGCTCCTGAATGACTACTGGGTACATAACGAAATGAAGGCAGAAATAAAGATGTTCTTTGAAACCAACGAGAACAAAGATACAACATACCAGAATCTCTGGGACACATTCAAAGCAGTGTGTAGAGGGAAATTTATAGCATTAAATGCCCACAAGAGAAAGCAGGAAAGATCCAAAATTGACACCCTAACATCACAATTAAAAGAACTAGAAAAGCAAGAGCAAACACATTCAAAAGCTAGCAGAAGGCAAGAAATAACTAAAATCCGAGCAGAACTGAAGGAAATAGAGACACAAAAAACCCTTCAAAAAATTAATGAATCCAGGAGCTGGTTTTTTGAAAGGATCAACAAAATTGATAGACTGCTAGCAAGACTAATAAAGAAAAAAAGAGAGAAGAATCAAATAGATGCAATAAAAAATGATAAAGGGGATATTACCACCAATCCCACAGAAATACAAACTACCATCAGAGAAAACTACAAACACCTCTACGAAAATAAACTAGAAAATCTAGAAGAAATGGATAAATTCCTTGATACATACACTCTCCCAAGACTAAACCAGGAAGAAGTTGAATCTCTGAATAGACCAATAACAGGATCTGAAATTGTGGCAATAATCAATAGCTTACCAACCAAAAAGAGTCCAGGACCAGATGGATTCACAGCCGAATTCTACCAGAGGTATAAGGAGGAACCGGTACCATTCCTTCTGAACCTATTCCAATCAATAGAAAAAGAGGGAATCCTCCCTAACTCATTTTATGAGGCCAGCATCATCCTGATACCAAAGCCGGGCAGAGACAAAACCAAAAAAGAGAATTTTAGAACAATATCCTTGATGAACATTGATGCAAAAATCCTCAATAAAATACTGGCAAACCGAATCCAGCAGCACATCAAAAAGCTTATCCACCATGATCGAGTGGGCTTCATCCCTGGGATGCAAGGCTGGTTCAATATATGCAAATCAATAAATGTAATCCAGCATATAAACAGAGCCAAAGACAAAAACCACATGATTATCTCAATAGATGCAGAAAAGGCCTTTGACAAAATTCAACAATGCTTCATGCTAAAAACTCTCAGTAAATTAAGTATTGATGGGACATATTTCAAAATAATAAGAGCTATCTATGACAAACCCACAGCCAATATCATACTGAATGGGCAAAAACTGGAAGCATTCCCTTTGAAAACTGGCACAAGACAGGGATGCCCTCTCTCACAACTCCTATTCAACATAGTGTTGGAAGTTCTGGCCAGGGCAATTAGGCAGGAGAAGGAAATAAAGGGTATTCAATTAGGAAAAGAGGAAGTCAAATTGTCCCTGTTTGCTGATGACATGATTGTATATCTAGAAAACTCCATCGTCTCAGCCCAAAATCTCCTTAAGCTGATAAGCAACTTCAGCAAAGTCTCAGGATACAAAATCAATGTGCAAAAATCACAAGCATTCCTATACACCAACAACAAACAAACAGAGAGCCAAATCATGAGTGAACTCCCATTCACAATTGCTTCAAAGAGAATAAAATACCTAGGAATCCAACTTACAAGGGATGTGAAGGACCTCTTCAAGGAGAACTACAAACTGCTGCTCAAGGAAATAGAAGAGGATACAAACAAATGGAAGAATATTCCATGCTCATGGGTAGGAAGAATCAATATCGTGAAAATGGCCATACTGCCCAAGGTAATTTACAGATTCAATGCCATCCCCATCAAGCTACCAATGACTTTCTTCACAGAATTGGAAAAAACTACTTTAAAGTTCATATGGAACCAAAAAAGAGCCCGCATCGCCAAGTCAATCCTAAGCCAAAAGAACAAAGCTGAAGCCATCACACTACCTGACTTCAAACTATACTACAAGGCTACAGTAACCAAAACAGCATGGTACTGGTACCAAAACAGAGATATAGATCAATGGAACAGAACAGAGCCCTCAGAAATAACACTGCATATCTACAACTATCTGATCTTTGACAAACCTGACAAAAACAAGCAATGGGGAAAGGATTCCCTATTTAATAAATGGTACTGGGAAAACTGGCTAGCCATATGTAGAAAGCTGAAACTGGATCCCTTCCTTACACCTTATACAAAAATCAATTCAAGATGGATTAAAGACTTAAACATTAGACCTAAAACCATAAAAACTCTAGAAGAAAACCTAGGCATTACCATTCAGGACATAGGCATGGGCAAGGACTTCATGTCTAAAACACCAAAAGCTATGGCAACAAAAGACAAAATTGACAAATGGGATCTCATTAAACTAAAGAGCTTCTGCGCAGCAAAAGAAACTACCATCAGAGTGAACAGGCAACCTACAAAATGGGAGAAAATTTTTGCAACCTACTCATCTGACAAAGGGCTAATATCCAGAATCTACAATGAACTCAAACAAATTTACAAGAAAAAAACAAACAACCCCATCAAAAAGTGGGCGAAGGACATGAACAGACACTTCTCAAAAGAAGACATTTATGCAGCCAAAAAACACATGAAAAAATGCTCACCATCACTGGCCATCAGGGAAATGCAAATCAAAACCACAATGAGATACCATCTCACACCAGTTAGAATGGCAATCATTAAAAAGTCAGGAAACAACAGGTGCTGGAGAGGATGTGGAGAAATAGGAACACTTTTACACTGTTGGTGGGACTGTAAACTAGTTCAACCATTGTGGAAGTCAGTGTGGCGATTCCTCAGGGATCTAGAACTAGAAATACCATTTGACCCGGCCATCCCATTACTGGGTATATACCCAAAGGACTATAAATCATGCTGCTATAAAGACACACGCACACGTATGTTTATTGCGGCATTATTCACAATAGCAAAGACTTGGAACCAACCCAAATGTCCAACAATGATAGACTGGCTTAAGAAAATGTGGCACATATACACCATGGAATACTATGCAGCCATAAAAAATGATGAGTTCATGTCCTTTGTAGGGACATGGATGAAATTGGAAATCATCATTCTCAGTAAACTATCGCAAGAACAAAACCCGAACACCGCATATTCTCACTCATAGGTGGGAATTGAACAATGAGATCACATGGACACAGGAAGGGGAACATCACACTCTGGGGACTGTTGTGGGGTGGGTGGAGGGGGGAGGGATGGCATTGGGAGATATACCTAATGCTAGGTGACGAGTTAGTGGGTGCAGCACACCAGCATGGCACATGTATACGTATGTAACTAACCTGCACAATGTGCACATGTACCCTAAAACTTAAAGTATAATTTAAAAAAATAAATTAAAAAAAAAAAACTGATTCACGTAAGAACTTCAAAAGTCTTAAGACAAAATTGTAGAATTCTTTGATATTTAATGAATTAAAATGGTTTAAACAAAGCATAGCTACATATTACGGTTGAAAGGAATACAAACATTTATAAATATATAATATTGAACATTGCAAATTATTCCAAAGTTTTTCCAGAATTTTTAAGGGTTTCTTCTGTGACAGCGAATTTGGGAAAACATGCGTTTAGTGATTATACACATAATCTATATTCTTTAAATCCCTATCAATTATTGGTTCCCAAAAGGAACCATTTGGGAATATGATGATGATAATAATAAAAATAAAACTAACAATAACAATAAATAATAGTAATGATAACAATAATAATGGAAGTTAATAACTATTTAGCCTTTATTCTACGCCAGGAGCTCTAATATTCACATATAGTAACTTATTTAACATTTTGTAGCAACCGTATGAGATAGGTTCATTTTTTGTTAACATGTTAATTATATAGTACAAGAGATAAATATAATGTAAAAATAAAAAATGGTTATTTAGGGTTTACTATGGGCTTAGTAGGAAATCTAAAGATGAGCTTGCCATTGACATGTGACACCAGTAGAAAGGCATGTTTATATAGAATGTGCCCAGAAAGTTTATTGGCCAAATAACTTCACTGAGTAAATGAACACACTTCCAAGAGAAGAACTAGAGTTGAAACTGTGGTTTCAAAGGAACAATGATCAGCATTTAAATTACTTAAAATGAAATCATAAATAAGTCTGTAATTGCAAAACTGAATGCCAAAGTCAAAATGCATTGTTGAAAGAAGTGATGCTATATTACATATATATTTTTTTAAGTTTGAAAATAACCTAACTTTAAAGGACTAATTAATTTACAAGCCAAAAATTGGTACAGAAAAGTGAACATTCTCTACAATAAGGAATTACTTAATAAATATTTAAAATGAGTCAATAATTTTTAACCTTTAATAAGGGAGATAAATCATATGATTTCATATTGATATTGATAATTTGACAAATATGGATTCAAGTGTTTTCATGTTCAAATAGTTAATGTTAAAACTAGTAGATTGAAAAACAGGATATACGGCATTCAAAACTCTAACTTAGAAAATAAAAGAGCCAAACAAACACAAAAATATTCAAAAGGTAAAAGAACATGAAGAAGTAAATATAAACAAAAAATTTATAATATATTAAATACAACACATATAAAATTGTTAAACTTTCATATTGAAAATTAAAGATTTAGATACGTTTCAAAACACATGTTTAAGTCAAAAAAACAGAGAATAAATAGTAAAATTTAGATACAGATATAGTCAAAGGATGGGTGGGAAAAAAGAGACACAGTCAAGAAAATAGGTTAAAAACAAGGTTAGGCATAAACATAGACTACATATCCTGCAAGATAAAGAATTATGAGGAACAAAAGAATACAGTTTTATAAAAGAAGTAATCTTATAATGAATATATAATGTCTATGTGAAACCTACTTTCAATAAATAAAGTAAAATATTAGCATCTTTCTCTCTAAAATTGGGGGAAAGGCAAAGCTCTCACCCTTTCTATTTGATATTGTGCTAGACATGATAGCCAGGACAACAAAGAAAGATAAAAGAAATAAAAGCTACACAATATTTAAAGCAAGAGGCAAAACTTCTCTTTTAGCACACATTATTATCAATGTAAAAAACCTAAGGAATATACAATGTAACTGCTAGAACTAAGAAGTTAATTTAGTTAGACTGTAAAATTTAAAATCAACATACACAAATAGGCCATATTTATATTATCAGAAAATAATTAAAAATAAAATAATTCTACTTATAATATGCATTAATCATATGAATCAATCCTTCAACATTAATGATACATCATAGCACTTATGTATACTCATGCATATATATAAACATACCCACACAGACATATATGAACATTCATATCTATCAGTTCTATTTTAGTTATTTCTATTGTGTCTGAAGCAGAACATGTTGTAACCAATATCAAAGATATAGAATATAATTTTAGCTAATTTTTGAATTCATTATAACTTTTATTATTTCACTTTATCAAAGACCATGACAGCAGAGCAGTTATACACAGATTTTTTTAAAACCTAAAACTCACTTCTTTCAACTTTTGTATGTCCAAATGGAAAAAAATGAAAAAAAAATTGAACATACATACAAATATATAGTACTATAATAAAAAAGGAAATTCATTGATGTCTTTTAAACAATATTTTATATTGCTTTATTTCTTATTTTTCTCCTAAGAAGTGTTTGCTAAAAGATGAAATAATGCCTACTAAATATCTCTTCCCTTATCTCTTTATTTGATAGTTCACTGTCATCAATACCTGGAGCAAATATGACATAAGAAAGTTGTAAGCATAGTTGTTTTTGATCAAAGCATGATTACATGCATAAAATAATAACACCTATTCTTTATTCTCCATGGTTTATTTGGCATTTAACTTATTATGCTCTAACCAATAAATCATAAAGTTGTTTTCTCTCCAAATTATTGTATTGGCAATAATGACAAATGAAAGTGACTTGCTTGTGACTTTTACTATGCAACATAAACAGATCCAAAGAAAATACATTAGACCTATTTGTAGAGTGTTTTATAGGAAGATGGAAACTGCAGATAAATATAAAAATAAAAATAAAATGCTCCCATGTAATATATTATTTTGTCTACATTAACATCAATAAACCTCATAATTCATACATTTTATATGTAGTATATGCCATTAAACATGCTTTATGAAATGAATATGCTTTATAAACTGAAAATATACTAATATTTTTAGTATCACATATTCTGTGATAAACATTGACATATTTAAGGTTTAGGAAGTACTATTGATAGCATTTATGATAAATAACATTTGGTAAAAAATATAAAATGTACTTTGCCATGAATTTTGATCTATAAATATTATTTATAACAAATCTGATAGAAATATTTACATATTATATCAACTTCTCAGGACCAAGGAAGTGAAAATATTTAATGCACATTCTATCTAATGTTAAATCATTTTCTAGAAAAATCAAAGCAGCATATAACTTGTTTTCATAAAGATCATGGTAAAATTTTAAGTTGTTTTACTGAATGTAACATAATTATTTTACTGATTTTAGTTATAAACAATTCACGTAGGCACAACGTTAATTCTCCATTTTTGAATTGCTGAACTTATTGAAAATATCACACAACCAATAAAATATAAGAAAATTCATGTTATATATTAACTTTTCTTACACGTTTATATGTTAGACTGCAATGGAATATGTAAACTGAAATTTTAGAAAAAAATAATCAAAACAAAAAAAGA
Organism: Homo sapiens; assembly: GCF_000001405.40. Taxonomy (NCBI): domain Eukaryota; kingdom Metazoa; phylum Chordata; class Mammalia; order Primates; family Hominidae; genus Homo; species Homo sapiens. The sequence continues at coordinate 97,642,877 of NC_000004.12, forward strand.
AAATTAAGCCTTAGAGAACAATTGCCAAATAAATTCAAAAGAGCTGAAGAGCTCTGGAACTTTTCAGTAGTAAAGCAATATTAACCACGACTTTGAAAAATGCCTAGACCAGAATACTAATAAATATCTGATGAATGAATGAATCAATCAATCATGTGATTATGTATTTTTCCTTGGAATAATTATATATTTTTTCATGGAACTGCTAAAAATAACTCCTTATTCATTATATAACAGACATTTACTGAATGCATATTATATGCCAGAAATACTAGAATGTAACCTCATGGAGCTTTTAATCTAGTAGAAATTTTAATGGAAAAATTTTTAAAAAGAGGTTGTTCAATTTCAGTGAACAACCTTTTAAAGATATTGCCAAAATTATCTCCATTTTCTAACAGGCTATTTAAATTATTATGGAGAAATTCTTTGGTGCTGCTCTCACATTCAATGAAACAAACTCTATACATGCATTTAGGCATTAATAACTTCCTCTTTGTACAGTCACATTTTAGTCATATAGCAGTTTCCTGATGCATATCATCTTAATTTCCACCTAAGTAGTTTAAGTACAGCATTTTTGAAACAGATTTTGATACTCTTATGGCATCATAGAACAATAGTTTTATTTCATTTATTCTGCATATATAAGTAATCTCCAAAATACAACCATTTAACTCTTTAGCTCTGTAAGTTACTTTAAAGGGCTTATTTGCAACAACATTAAATATACAGTTGTGAGGCTATATATCCAGACATACTTATTAATATTAAATTGACTTTAAACTAATTTCCTTCTTTGTTTAAAGAACTCTTTCAGTTTACTTCTATAAGCATACATATCTAGCAGTGATTGAAGTTGTCTTATTGTGTCATTTCCAAAAGGGACTTTATATTACGAGTGTCTGATATTATAAGAGAATTTGAGATTCTTTTATTATAAAGAGAATTTTGGTAAAATTCACCTTATTTTTGGGCATAGTTACTTTTCCAACAATACCTATAGCCTACAAACTGGGCCTTACAAACTGGGAATCACCAGGAAATAAGTTATAGTAAATTTACCTCAAAGAAGGAGATGAATGTCTTTTAAACATGATTTTCAATCTTTCTAATCTCAAGTATTTTAAATTCTGAAAGTCTAGACTTGAATTGATATGGCAAAGTTCACCTGCCACCTGTCCAGTGACTTAAGAGAATGAAATTTAAAGAGGGGGTGATGCTTATTTGATGTAACCTTTGATCTTTTGACAAACCTATGAAAAACAAATAGAGCTTTAGGAAAACCTTTCCTTTTAAAATGGGCATGCTTATATATTATTTAAGAGAAGTACCTGAGTGACATATTTCTTTTGACAATAAAATGAAAAAAAATGTTTGTAAAGCATCTCAAACACATACAGCATCAGGATACATTAGTTTCTTTCCCTTTCAAAGAAAACCAAACACAAATTGTTACAAGAACTCATGGAGAAAATAAGTCTTCTGTCTCTCCCATGTCACTGCTTTTGACAAATGAATTACCTTTTGTTAGTCCCCAGCCAAACAAATAAGAACCTTAAAAGCAACAGATGAACACTCAACAAATGGATCATTTTTTGTGACAAACTGTCTGGAAGTTGTGCTGGAGGAATGTTTTATTATTTGATCAATGACTTGACGTGTCCTACCTTTTAATACCAAATGGAAAGAATCAGAAGGCAAGCAAACATCGCATGGCTCTAACCACTCATGGGAACTACTAGGGGACATTTGATTTTCAGGAGTTTGGGAACCCGAAACATAACATGATCTATTTTTCAATCAGGCAGATCTCACTTGGGAAAGGTGCAATGATGTTCAATATCCTTTCATTTTAAGAACAACCAAAGTGACTTACCAGAGCATAATTAACAGACCAGTAACATATCCTTTAGTATTCTAGTTTTCTAAAGCCTCCTTACTTTAAACTTTTGGTCAAGATAGGTAAAGTTACCTTGCTTCCCTCTTCTCAAACACAGATTTAAGAGATATTAAAGCTTTTGTCAGTGACAACACTAGATTTTGGATGCTGTTATTTTTTCCTTCACAATGTCATGCTCAAAATTGGATAAAGTGCACAAGCAAATTGCATGGCTCAGCAGTACTGGGAAAGCTAAAGGAAGCTGAGATGTGCTTTTTCTCATATTCTAAACGTACAATTATGAAATTTCTCTGATAACTTTAAAAACTAGCCTTAATCAAATATTATTTAGAGTATAACTTGGAGGTTATAAATAAACTGTTGCCTTTTTATGTAATCCAGAGGGACATAAAAGACAGATGGAGAACTGAGCATGGCCAATTGTTTTTTATAGCTACAGTTTAAAAAAAAAAATCCCCACTCACAAGGCAAAAAGCCTCTGCTACATGGCAGCTGCTGACTAGGGTGAGCAGAAAGTATCTTGCTGAAAAAAAAAAAAAAGAATTCAGCAGTACAGCAATGTGATTAGTTAAGCTCTATGGTGTTCCTCAGATAAAGGACGTGAAGCTGGAATTTTAAAGATAGAGTTCATAAAATAGTATCAAGAAGGCTTTTTATTTTGCCATTGATATTCTAAGAGACTGCGGCTATCAGAGTTGCAAATACTGTATCCAGAATCTTAGACTTCACTAGCTGCCTTTTAACCTTTGCCATGTGGCATATGAATGTGGCTTGTTTAGTGAATTTTATGACATAATTAATAGGCATTGTCAGAGATTCTCATTTATGATCATGGGGGGTTGGCAACCCTTTGTTGCTTTCATTCCAGACTCTGAGAAATTAGCCAGATGGTATGTCCTACCACCAAACTGCAATGTGGAAGACATCCTTCTCAGGACACTTTCAAATCCTTTCTGGCCAACTTCATGGCTTCTGCAGTAGTTAAATTAGTTACAGTTTTACTTAATTAGTTCTAACTGCATAGGTTGTTTATAGATTCCCTCTAAAACTTCACTGAGATAAAAATTAGTACTGTAAATAGTTTAGTTTTCTCACCTATATTTAACTTAGTGAAAAGACAACACAGTATACTACAAAAAGTTATCTCCATTATACATAAATTCCAGTCCAAACTCTGACACAAACACACTCCTTGAGCCCAGAGATCACTCTCACTCAGTTGCTTCATCTTTATAAATAAATATTGGGCTCAATGATCTGATTCTTTCCAACTAGAGAAGACCATGGGCTCTAAGTCTTCCCATGTGCAATCCATCACAAGCTCTATGCTGGTTTAAGTAGACCCTAACTTGGCTTTCAAAAATTAAAATATGTGGTTTTGAAGATTTGTGAGAGTCCTTGAAGTTCTATGACAAATAGCAATTTTTAGTTTTGCTTAGGAACAAATTTTATTTGCACACAGTGCAAGGCTATATGCAGGAAAGTAGGATTTATTATAAGAAAATCTAGTCCTCTATCCACCATTTGTATATCAATGTAGTTGCATGTTATCTTCTCATTATCAGTCTTATTACGGTTGCAAAGCGGCCACTTAATATTTTTCTTTTTTAGTATATCTTCTTTCATTTCATGAAGGAAATCAATAATGTAATATATCCTATTACTTTGAAAAATTAGTCTTTTATATAAAGTGTGAATTATACATTGAGGTTAACTGAACATAGATCTATAATGGAAACCAGGAACATTAGGACCTTTGGGAAATTCCCATATGCATCAATACATATAATTCATATCAGCATTTTCTAACTCCCCACCCTAAGCACTCACAGATTCCAAAAGCTTTGATGCTTTATGTGAACCAATATATACATATACTGTTTATTAATAAAGTTTATTGATTTATATTCTGTAAATTAACAGAAAATGTTTTCAACTGCTTAGTAAGTGATATACATTATAGTGTAAGTTATAATAATTTCAAAATCATTTGTTAATTTTTATAAACATTTGGTGTAATATTTTGTTTGACGTGGCCATCACTAAGTAATGCCTCTGTCTAGTCTATGATTTGACATAGAGAACTGCACCAAACTTTTCTGACATTAAATTTCTACCATTAAATTGACAGTTATTAGGTGCCATCTGGATAGTCATTAGGCGTCTCGATAAGCAGAGAATTTCTCTTCAGATCAATAACATTGTTCATAGTGCTGACTCTTCTTTCAGCTTCAACTAAATAGCAATGGCATGTAAATATTTTCTAGTCCAAGTCTGAGTTCCTTATATATTCAATTTTCTATCACCCACTAAAACATAACAATAATAAATCTGAATCTCACATTTAATTGGATTAAATGAATCATTCTGGTCAGATGAGAAGTAGCATAAATGCTTGTTGGGAGCATGGGCATGTTGCCAGGCTGCTTGAGTTAAAGTTCTGGCTCTGCCATTTAAGTTATAAATAAGCACTCAAATGCTTCAGTTTCCTTTCCTGTTGAATGAGCAAGACTCAAATGTCTTAGAATTGTGTCTGATCCTGGATTTATTGTTAATATCACTGCTATTAATGCCTGTGACTTGCTTTCATGTAGTGAATTAAATAGAGATGATATTTAACTGAGAAGGCTGAAAGCAAGAATTTGCACTTCTAACACCTCCTGGCCTGATATTACTACTGCAGCCTACCTCCATCCTCTGCTTCCTCCTCCTTTGCTAGAATCCCCACCCTGCCAGGAGATTCAGCAGTCCCTGGTCTTTGCCTGAGGCTGTCCCATTATCCCCTATCTTCCAGTTTGCTCCATTCTCTATCTGTCTATCTGCTTTCTTGGAGTCAAGGTCCCAAAAGGGGCTACAGTCTACTCAAGCACAATTTGAGGATGGTAAGGGACGGGCCAAGCAGTGGTGGGTGGCCACAACCTCATGGGGCCAAAATGACACTAAGCATTTGTCCGCCAAGATGCTAGCACTGTCTGTAGGAATACCACCTTTCCTTTTGGTATTTAGGTCTGTTCTGGGCAGAGGGAAACAGGTGTGAATGGGCCAGTCAAAGAGCTACAGTGAGCCATCTGGTAGTCCAGCAGGCTGGCAGGGGCCAGTGTGGGTCTAAATGGTGTTCACTCTGAGGTCCCTGGAACATGGGATAGGCAAGACCCTTGGGCATTACTAGGAGGGAGATCCCATGTTGTTACCTAAGAGCTAATCTGAGAGTTTGGTCAGCAATGGCACTGACTGACCACTTATAATAGCTTAGGCAAAAAGCAGGGTCCTAAAGTCTCCCCACTTAAGATAGGCATTAACCCTTTAGTTGCTGGCGTGGTCTGAAGTAATCCTAGGGGAAGGCTGGGTGGCAAAGGCCCTGGAGTAAAGTGAGCTTGCAACAATGGCACTTTTCAACAGATATAGACATATTTCAACAACAGGTAAAGCCATCCCAGTGTGTGGTGGCTAAACATCAGTCCTATCTAGATGAAGCATGTGCTTTCCACTACTCTCCCATCCCTCAGTCGTGGGCTAGTAATCTGCTGCAATATGCAGATCTCAAAGAATTGTAATGCTGGTATCTACCTGGCTTTAAAATAGCTTGGTAAATAGAAGGTGCTCAACAGATATTTGCTGAATAAGTGAACGAATAAATGTACCTATAGAAAGAAATCTTTTCCTGTCTTAACTTCCTGAAAGGTTTGGACCACTTACTATCAGTGTTTGTGTTTACTTGAATCGATCTTATGCTTAAGGTATGCTGAACACTCTCTCAGCAACAATGAAATTTATTACTACTAAAATGAACATAGGCTTTGAAGTCAGATACATCATAAATCAAATTCCAGTTTTTGTTCTTACCATTTTTAGTGATCATGGACACATAATTTATGTTTTCTGAGGTTATGAGACAATGGGACTCATTTTCTCAAAATTAAGGGTAATAATGTCTTCCTTATATGCTGTTGACAGATCAAGGAAATGTATACAAACTTAGTAAACTCATAACTAGAAATAAAAAATAAGTAGTCCTTGTTATTGTAGTTGTATTATTATTGGTGATGTTATTAATACAATGTATTATACTGTCAGCATCTCCTTCTCTGGAAAAGACAAGTCTTAATACTCAGGTCAAGCTCCCATTACTTTAATTAGCTAAATTCTGGTTTTCCTTTCCATCCTACACATCCAGGTTATAAACTTGCTGCATACATAGAACCAAACCCTAATTGTCTGATGATAATTCAGAACATGGTACTTGACTTCTTTTTTCACTAAAAGCTAGATGTAATTACAGAACTCCTCACTAATTGTCAGAAAATGCTTTGAGGAAAGAATAGGAGCAGGAAAAACATGCTTTCTGATGTATATCCTGCTGATCTGCCAGGCATCCCGACCATTCTTGTTACTACAGAGCAATAACATTTATTATCTTAATTATGTGTAGTATTTTTCTATAAGTCAGGTAATTATTTCACCTTGTAGACCTGTGGACCCAGAGTCCAGGTTAAATGCTTCAAGAAAAAGTTATTTTGTTTCTATAATAATATTAACATTTAATGGGAAAAACAGGTATTCTTTAACACTCTGCTTTCTGAAACATTTCTTTCTCTTTAGTTCTTGTTTTGGCTTTAATTTGAAATAGTCTTAGCTGTCACAGGCTGTTTTTAGGGCAAAAAAATAGTCTTGAAGATTTTTTAACTTATTGATGGCCTTAGAGGTATGTAAAAGAGATATATTATCAAAGTTGGAAGATTAATCTCTAGCCAGTAGAAGCTGAAAACAGCAGAGGGATTTGCTGGGCTTTGCCTGCAGATGAGGATGGGCCACCAATGGGGAGTGAAGAAGCTTAAAAGATGTTTCAGTATGTAGTTTGGAGCAGACATTCAGATCACTGTCTTGAGATAGGAAGTTAACCAAGGTAACCATTTGAAATTGAAAATGGTTGTAACAGACCAGTTCAATTGTATCTAAATTTGTGTGCTACTCCTAGAGCAGCGATCCCCAACCTTCTTGGCACCAGGGACCGGTTTCATGGAAGACAAGTTTTCCACAGACCAGGGGGGACGGCATGGTTTCAGGATGATTCGAGCACATTACATTTATTATCCACTTTAATTCTATTATTATTAAATTGTGATATATAATGAAATAATTATACAACTTACCATAATGTAGAATCAGTGGGAGCCCTGAGCTTGTTTTCCCACAACTAGACAGTCCCATGTTGGAGTGATGGGAGACAGTGACAGATCATTAGGCATTAGATTCTCATAAGGAGCACGCAACCCAGATCCCTCACATGCACAGTTCACAATAGGGTTCATGCTCCCACAAGAATCTAACACAACCGCTGATCTGACAGGAGGCAGAACTCAGGCAGTAATGCAAGCAGTGGGGAGTGGCTGTAAATACAGATGAAGCTTTGCTCACTTGCCTGCCACATACCTCCTGCTATGCAGCCTGTCTCCTAACAGGGAGACCAGTACCAGTCCGTGGCCCAGGAGTTGGGGATCTCTATCCTAGAAGACCAAATAGATGTCGATGAAAAGAGTCAAACTCTGTAAAATATTTGAAGAGATTTATTCTGAGCCAAATATGAGTGACCATGGACCTGCCCAAGGTGGTCAGGGTGAGGCTTGGTTTTATACATTTTAGGGAGGCATGAGACATCAATCAAATACATTTAAGAAATACATTGGTTTGGTCTAGAAAGGCAAGACAACTTGAAGCAGGAGCTTCCAGGGTATAGGTAAATTTAAACATTCTCTAGTTGACAATTGGTCGAGTTTGTCTAAAGACCTGGGATCAATAAAAAGGAAATGTTCAGGCTGAGATAAAAGATTGTGGAGACCAAAGTTTTTTGAAGTCTCAAAGTGGCTGCCCTTAGAGACAATAGATGACACATGTTTCCTATTCAGACCTTTAAAAGGTACTAAACTCTCAGTTAATCTCTTCAGGATTGGGAGGGCCTAGAAGAATAAGATCCAGCTATGTTAATAGAGATTCTTTACAGGTGCGTATTTTCTCCCACGAAAGATGGCTTTGTAGGGCCATTTCAAAATATGGAGAAGAAACATGTTTTCAGGTAAAATATTTTGATTTTCTTCTTTGTCAAGTAATGTTATGTCAGAGTCAAACTGGAAAGTAAGTCACGATATATAGGGTTAAATAAAGCCCATCTGATGAGAATTTATGCTTTGTAGGGCATGGCTCCCCAGGCCCCTTAGATAGGAATTTGGGCAAGATTAAAAAAAAAAATCAGAGCTTAGCCTTCAGTGAGTATAGTAAAACATTCTTGCTGAATATAAGCAAAAGACTATACAAAAGGCACAAGACACTCCCATCACTTTTTCCTAAAAATGTAGAGATACAGAGGCCTTAAAATCATTTCAATTTTTAAACCCTGCATATCAATAAGTTTCTTGACTACCTGTGTTAGACCAGTTTTCCTGTTAGACCAGTATAATTTCCCAATACAAAGCAGACATTATTGTTTGTATGTCTTTATTTGAAAAAAAAAATTCTAAATCTAAAAATATGAAGAAAACTTACAGTTGAAAAAGATTATGACAAATGCTCAGCCTCAGAGTATCAACAGGTTAAACTGTTATTATAAAAATCAATCTTGAGTGTAAAATAGCTCCAAACTTAAAATCATGAGATTTCAAAATAAATTATTTTGCTACAACTTACATTGTTAATTAAGCTATCTGGAACATTAAAAATTAATATCATCAAGGTAGAATTTGAATTGAACTTAAATACCTAAATGATGCAGATGTTTGAAAATAAAAATTTAAACATCAGAATAACACACTTTGATCAAATAAACTTACATTTCAGACTTTGTTACAAGTTCTTTATTTTCCAACTAACAAAAGCACATTTTCCCCTCTTTTATCACTTTACAGATAACATGATAAAAGCAAAGAAGATAGGAGATGGTTGACAGGATAGTAAAAGATGAGAAATAGTTAAGAGCAAACTGATGAAGGTTGTATGAACTAAAAAAGAGAAGTTTGAATATGAAAAGTAAATGAACAAGAAATGAAAAACAAGTTCACATTATTTAAAAGATTTTTCCACACTTTTGAAAACATTGGATGTTGCATAATATAAAATACATTTGAAGTGTCTTTAATAATTCCTAGTAAATTCATGGAAAATTATTCTTGCCATATGAAAATACATATTGTGAATATAGTTATGCTAAAAATATCTTGAGTGAAATTTTTGGTAATGCTTATTAATGTAACTGCACTGCCTGACATATAATAAAAACAGCTGTAGAATCTTAAACAGATACTCTGATAGTAATACTAGTATCAAAAATTTGCATAAGCCTAAAGGAAAGCTTTTATCTAAAGGCCGTGAAACATCACTTATGATAAAAGTTTTATGGAGTTTATAAAAAATATTTCTATTTACACATTGTAACGAAGAAAGCAAAGCATAGAAAAGACAGTTAAAAGTGCTAGCATGTCCTCTAACATGTCCTACAAATACACTTTATTTTAGAGCTATTTTACAACTTTAAGGGAAAAATGAAAATTCAATGAAACTATGGACAATATCAAGCACCTTGTTTTCCTTATATTAAGAGATTTCACCTTTAAAATCAGTCCTTTTTGTCTCTGACCATTGAGTGCTCTCCTCAAGATTCAAAAAATAAAGAGAAACTTGCTAGTATATGTTCTTACAAAAAAAAGTACTACAATTTGATACCCATAGATTAATTAGATTATGATGTATGATATTTTATAAAACATGATTTTAAATCTTTTAAATTTACATCTTTTACCTAAAAATTATAATTTTCCTACCTCATTCTTAGCACTGTACACTGGGGATATAATCAGAAATAAAATGAAATTATGCCCTAAAGGATACCAGTAGGTCATGGGAGAAGTAATACACATACACATAAAAAAGTAGCAGAAATTCTTCTATCATTAACACCTTAATGAATGGTATAGACAATAAGTGAAGTTTCATAAGAACATGAAAAGTTTTAAAGAAAAGAAAATTTTCAAAGATGAGATTAGCCATAGCTAAGTAGATTACACAACAACTCAGTTTACTAATGTTACTAAGGTTGCCCTTAAACTTAGATAGACTAAAATCATCATCATTTGGTATGAGTTACTGGGTACTAAGAGAGGAGTTTTTGTCCAAATATAATGCAGTGATTCCTCATATACCTTTAGCAGGAGATAGAAATTTTTTCAACAGTAGGAGTTAAATTTAAATATGTAAACAAAAGTAGAGACCTTAGTAATAAGGTAACCTAAATTAGCAAAGTGATTAGGTAGATAGATGATTGATAGATGATAGATAGATAGATAGATAGGTAGATAGATAGATAGATAGACAGATACTATCAGATTCACTTCTATAGGCAGGTATTATGTATTAGGGACTGAGGTATTGCAAGTATTAAAGGCATTGTAGACTCAGGTATTAGGGAACCACGTAGCAGCACAGAATGAGAAAAGAAAGATAAATTAGTTTTCCTTATTTGTCTAATTTTGTTATTTAACAACATATCCAAAGACTAGTTTTGACTTTATATAATGTAACATCTCAATGAACAGTAGTGGAACAAATAGCTATCAATATGGAAGAAAAAAAAAAACCTTGAAACTCTACGTCTCTCTTCTTCTACCAAAATTCCACATGGAAAGTAAAATAAAATAAAACAAAACAATAAAGTGCTAAAAGGCATCAAAAGAATTTATTTTTTATGTTTTAAATGGGAGCTTTCAAAAAATGACTCTAAAGCCAGAAAACATAAAGAAAACAATTACATACATTGGATCTAACAAAAATGCAAAAATTCCCTCCAAGAAAACACTACTTTTGAAAAAGGACAAACTAGAAAAATATCTTTAAGCTATGAAACTGACAAAATTATGTTATTGATAATGGAAAAAGTTTGTAGCAGTTAAGGACAAGTAGAATGACTGTTGACTGAGAATGGTGTTTAGTGTCCAGAAGATGACCCTAAGAAAAGAATTCACATGTGAGTAATTTATGTGGGAGGTGCTGTAAGCAATGGCAGGGGAGGGAAAGTGAGATAGTGAAGGGAAGAAAGACCGCTAATAAAGGGAGCTTTATCATATCGGCTACCACTGCAGGTGGTAACAGTTTGATCCCACAGGGAAACTTGGGGAAATGGTGTAGAACTCTGGCCTCAGAGATATAAATGCAAGGGTTAAGGAAGACAGGTTTTTATCACCAACTCCTGCCTGCCATTGCTGCAAAGCAGCCCCTATGGAATGTTCATTCCAGGGTGCTTGTGTTTTACTATGTGAGAAGGCAGAGTAGCTTTGGAGAATATCTTTAAGGAAAGAGATGCTGAAAGTTGGCTGGAACTCAATAAAATGGTACACCTCCAGACAAATGGAAGGTATCTACAGCATTGGCTACATGGAGCAGATGACATGAACTGGTAATATATATTAAAAATGCACAAATGTTCAACAGTCACAAAAAAATAAAGAACATCATAAATCACCAAGCAATACACATTTTAAAATATTTGGACTTTGCATATTAAAATTATATTTTTAAAGTGATTTTTTATGATGTGAGAAAAATACACTCTCATACATTATTAGTGGAAATATAATTGGTAAAAGACTTCCGAGAAATAATAAGCCAAGGTGTTTCACAAGGTTTGATATGCATCAATCCGACAATTCCACTTCCTGACCATCCTGATTACAATTTACAATTGCAACTCTACCCTTTGACACTTCTGTTACCCTTCCATGCATCCTTTTCTCCACATTACACATCACTATGTACTAACCACATGTTTGTTCACTCATTTATTTTGTTTATTATTAGTTATCTTCACTAGAACATATGCCACATAAGAGCAATGACTTCTGTCTACTTTATTCACTGCCACCTAGAACTGAGAAGAGCGGCCAGAACACAACAGGCAGTCAATAAAATCTCTTGAATGTATCATTAGACAACAACAGAAAAAATGGTCAAATAAAGTTCATCTTAATGTTGTTTACAATAGTAAAAAAAATCATAAATAACAATAATCAAATGATGTGGTATATATAATATACATAAATACTGTACAGATTAAAAATGATATAATCTATATATTGGGCATGAAAAACTATACATGATTTATCATTGTCACCAGAACAGTTTAACAAACAGCATATTCAGTATGACTCAATTTTGGCTAAAAAATACATTTTTAGTATAAATCTAAACCTGGAATAACATACAGAGAAATATTAACCCTGGTTATCTCTGGCTGATAGAATTATAAATGATTTTCACTACTTTCTACTATGCATTTTATATAGTATGTGTTTTACACTCATAATGAATTATGAAGCTATTTTCACTGATAAAACATGGTTAGTCTAATATAGAAAATCTATTGTGGTTAAAGGGCTGAATCTTAAACTTTTAGAACATAGTGAATTGGCCAAAGTGAAAACATTTGAAAATGACCAAACGTTTGTATATATTATCTGATAGTACTACCTCGTGAATTCTTAGGTGACCTAGACTTTCTATATTAGAGGTGCAGAAATGGTGGGAAAGGGACTAAAGTAGTTTTACTAAATAAAGCTCTCTAGTGGGATCTACTTATGTATATTTTGTAGATAACACTAAAATTAAGTTGTTGTGTCTTATCTTTTCAGGGATATGATAGAACTATTAAACAAAAGTAGAACTTTTCACTTTGGTTAGTGTCTTGATTCATATTAATGTCAATTTTTTTCATTACTATTTTGGATGAAGAGATGAAATAAAAGCCCAAGAAAACATTTCCACTGTTTATCGAGATCAAAAATGTATAAAACCACTATAACTATATTTTAATAATGCCTACAGCACCAAACAAGAGATTTGAAGTATTCACTTGAAAGAGCTGGCAGAATTATTTATTTCCTATTTCAGTTTTAATAGCATATCCATGACTCATCTTGCTGCACTATTACAAGCTAGTTTTTCTTAAATTTGGGAATTATACAATTCTTCAAATTAATGTAGCTTCTTAATGCCTTGTCATATTTTAACAAAATACGTAAATATATACAAATATAGACACTTTTAAGACCAAGTAGTGATACAAAGCTAGAACATAATTTAGGACACACCTTTTGTTCTAAATTATTAAGTAATACTGTTATTTCATATTTTTAAGATGCCACATTTGATAGTAATCACAAGAGCTACATAAATGTATATCTTAAAACATATTATGAGATCAGGGATCTGTAAGTAGTGGTCACAGCAACCATGTAATATTAACACAAATCTTTAGGACTACCCGTAGAAACACAAACAAGAAGGGTCTCTGCCTGAAGCCCTATGCTTAGAGGCCTTGAATTTCTCAAGTCTGCAAATACATGTGTTAAAGAACACATGGGTATCTCAGTAACTTGGGTTGCAGTGTTGCAGTATTGCCACATCCTGACTCATGACACAACACAAACCAACTCATGACTAACACCATTTGCCCAAGGGAAAATATTCACATTTCTTTCCCTGTGTCTTCAAAATAAAAGGTGATTCCATTCAAATGCCAAGAAGGTTTGTGGCATGTACTGTTGACAACATTGAACAGAGATGTGCTTCAGAGTGTGGGAAGGATTTGAGTAATGTAATTACTTAAGTAAGAGAAAAGACATATTAATTCCCTTTCAAATCTTTTCTCTCCATTAGGACAAATGCAATAGAGTCTTATATAACAAGTCATTGTTGCTCAATATCACTGAGCATTCCCCTTCTTGCTTCTCTTTGTGTACCACAAATTAGCATGGTCTTCACAAAAGTTTCACATCACATGGTGGCTCAGGAACATTTTAGAGTATTAACAGCTCATGTTACCCTTAAATATAAATATATGACATAACATGCACGTGGCATGAAATTATTTCTTTAGATTGGCAACTAGATGGACATCGAATACTAGTATTGTGCATAGTTTTAGTTTTATGGAAATATTTAATGAGATTTAATTAAATTTTAAGATTACTAAATGAAAATTCAGCTCTATAGATTTCATTAAATTTGTAAATATTAATTAGCTACAAGTTGTATTTGCCCTGTAATTTTAATAAATAATTTAAATGAGTTTAGAAGGAAACTTTTTTGAAAATATATATGAAAAATAATTTTAATGAGTTGTTACACATGATTTAAAATTTTGAAAACATAGCCATATTTGGTATATTTTTAATGCAATTGCAGTTTATTTTTCAATCATAGTTTAAACTGTTACTGTCAAAGGAACAAAATAATGTGAAAGATGTTGATTATAACAACATAATTAGTGATTTGCCAAAACGATAAGAAGAAAAATAAATTTAATGGAATAAATTTAATGCAATAATGGAATAAAATAAGTGGAATAAATTTAATGGAATAAAAAAATAAAATAACTCCCTTTTTGTTACATAATAAATAGTAAGTGGCCAAAAAAAAGTTGAGTTGCTAATTCTAGTAACTGTGAATTATGTATATCTTTATTTTATTACTCATGCAAATACTACTGGCCAATCATCATTCAGATAGGCAGAGTAATTAAATTCCATCATCTTTGCTATGATGCCAACTCTAAAACATAAAACTATAGCTTTACACATATTTCTTCTTTATTTTGGTGAGTATAAGGGAATATCTATTAAGGCAGGATGACATAAAATATTTTATTTAGAAGTTTACTAGCTTGATGTATAACTTTAAAATATTTAGAAAGAAGGAATATTGGCCTCCACTTGTAATCCCCACACAGGGGTGGGCCTGAAGATCCTAGTCTCAGGTGGTGAATTCCCTTAGGGTACTTTGCCTCAGTCTGCCTTGCTCAAGAATTGACCGATATCTACTCCTCAACTAATAGGTCACTGCAGTGGTTTACCTACAGATTTTAGGTTTAGAACATTGTTTGATGTGAACTCAAAGTATTACTCCAGCCAATCCAGTTCAAGTCATTTATTTTTATGGTATTCCATGAGTCTGATTTAAATCTAAAATTTGTGAACTAGATCACTTGTAAATAGAATGTTATGCAAAGACATGATTTCAAAATGAACTTGCTAAAATAATGAAAACCTCATCCATGAACACGTCTATGAACATCTATTAGTTTTCACTTTGTAGAGGTACCATGTAAACTGCTGAAGACTGTGTGAGAAACATGGTCAAAACTGCTCCTTCTTCAGAAAATGTGACTTGCATAAAATGATGAGATTTTACAAGAAGAACATATGTGATTTGTTTAATTTTTTCCATTCCAATATGGAGAATTCTATGATGATGGATTTTTCTAAAATGTCCAGATTTTATCAGTTCCTTCCTCCCATTTCACAGGTATGTTTTGTAACAATTAGAGTGTCAATATTTCAAGTGATAAAGAAACTGAAGATAGCTGCTATAATGTGCTTTGTTTCTTGTGTCAGGATTAAATATGACATATGCCTGCAATCTTTAAATTTGAAATTGTGTTCTTAAAGAAAAATGTACAATAAATTTCAGCCATTGTCCTCTAGTAGATGAATCACTAGTAACTTTACAACACTAGCTCCAAATATATTAAGTTCAATTGAAAACATTTTAAAGATAAAGCAGGATAATTTATGCTTTTGACAATATGCAGAAAATACGTCATACTTTGGTAAAGAGACAGGCGTGGCCTAGTAGGCTGCAGGAAAGTGTGACATAGGTGAAGGACCAATACCTAGAAATAGATCCCTCAACTCTCAGGGCAGGGTAAGTTGTAGAGTGACTATCCCAGCTGTTTTGTTGGAAGAGTTTAGACTCTTCAAAAAGCTGGAAGTAGCAAAGGATATCTCAGCAGTAGTCACATTTCCTGCATAAAGAAAGAGGCCAAGAGAGACTGGGTACGAGGCCAGACTAAGAGGATGTGGACATGAGTGGGACACTTTGTGTTGCAAGGAGTACTTGATTTGTGTAGAAAACTGCTTTTTCTAAGAAATTAAATTTTCTTTAAAAAGTTACATACACATGTATATGGGGCATACGTACTAAATTTAAAATCTAACATAGCAGGGCCTATTGTAGCCAGTGAGAGTATTAAAGAAATATACACAAACATTGAAAAATAAATGCATATGCTATAGAAATATCATTTAAGAATATAAATCCTACAGTTCTCTGTCCCTATTATCCTCTTCTACCCCAGGTGCCTCTCTCCTACTTATTTGGTTAGGCATCTCACGTTCCTTTGGGGAGAAAACAATTAATTAATACTAAAAAATCCTCTGTTTTGATTCCTACAGTAAATATTAATAGGTATAATCCATATAAAGAAAAGCTCTTAGAGGTCCTCAATAGCTTTTAAGAGTATAAAGTAACCATGAAAACAAAATTTGTTTTGTTGGAATCACTTCTCCAGGAATCAAGATGAGTCCATATCTTTATTTGGGTGAAACTAAAGAGGATTTGTAGAGACTGTACCTCAGAAATATAAATCCATTAGCCATTTATATATGTAAAAAAACAAAATAACTTCAGTGTATGTGTAACATTTTAATCTTATTTGGCTTGGATTGAGCATATTCAGGCTCTAGACTAACTTCTACAAAGCACTGAAGATAGAATTACAGCTTAATTCAGGAGTTGTATCATTTCATTTACAAAAATAGACTTTAGATCCCTACAGAACTGGAAGGGATCTACTTCATAAAAAGAAGCAAAGTAGTCTTTTATAAGATGACTCTCAGATGGTAGTGTGTTCTTACACTCTCACACTTTATGTCAGCTCATGAACCTTGCTGGAAAGCTAGGGAACAAATGACCTTTTTACTTTTGAAGGAGTTATTTCAGATAAAGCTTTACCTGTGCAATAAGGAGAGAAAAAGCAAAGTGCTTTGGCACACTACATAATCCTTGTAGGTTTCAGTACCAGTTCAGTGATATAATAATGACTATTTTGGGCTTCTGAACAGTTTGCCTGTGAGATTGGACATAACTCCCTTTTTGTTACATAATAAATAGTAAGTGGCCAAGAAAACGTTGAGTTGCTAAAGCTTAGCTGACCTGGTGGACACATATTTTAAAATAACTGGAAAAATAAGCTACAGCCCACTAGTGTATGTTCTGTGAACTTGGGACAGAGTACATCCATCACTTCAACAACAATTCATCACAATACAGTTCCTTCCAGCCTTTGGTCAGTAGTTTGGACATGATCCTCCTAAAAGAGAGAGACATTTGTAGAAGAATCTTTCTTTCTTTTTTTTTTTTTTTTGAGACGGAGTCTCGCTCTGTCGCCCAGGCTGGAGTGCAGTGGCGCAATCTCAGCTCACTGCAAGCTCCGCCTCCCGGGTTCACACCATTCTCCTGCCTCAGCCTCCTGAGTAGCTGGGACTACAGGCGCCCACCACTAAGCCCAGCTAATTTTTTGTATTTTTAGTAGAGATAGGGTTTCACCGTATTAGCCAGATGGTCTCAATCTCCTCACCTCGCAATCCGCCCGCCTCGGCTTCCCGAAGTGCTGGGATTACAGGCGTGAGCCACCGCGCCGGCCTGTAGATGAATCTTTATATTATATTGACGGATCTGTTAAATTAGGTTTTGCCTTGCAGCTATTGAGCAACTGAACTACTAAGATACCCCTCTTGCCTTGACAAGAATTATTGTATGCTTCATCACATACAATGACTAGAACCAGAATACTGTAACAATCCTATCAGAATTAAAGAGGAAATGTGATACATTTTATTAGAAACTTCTTAAACACTTTCTAGAATGAATGGGAAAGGATGAGTTCTCTCTTGATAACTCTTTACTGAAATATGACTACTAAAAAATGGCAATATTTCCAGATCTAGGATTTTTGCTATAATCATTCAATTCACACGCAAGGCAAGTATAATCTGGTTATAAGATTTATTAAGCACTTAGTCTGGGTCAGGGATGGTACAAAGTGGTTTATATGTATTATCTCATGTGATCCCCAAAAAACTTTAGAAATGCGTTACTGTCATTATCCCAGTTTTATAGACAACGAAATGCAGGCTCCAAAAGGTTAAATAAATTGCCTTGAGTCACAAAATTAGTAAATTACAGAGCTTAGATTGATGAAGTTTTCAATTACAATAATTTCATAATCCGTATATATATTATTTTATTAGCTATATTCTAGCTAGTAAGGTTTGTTCAGATTTGGGGTTCACAGTCCTAGCATGAATGAGCACACTTGGCTAAGTCACGAATAATAAACAAAAACATGCTTTGGGATAGAAAGATTATTCTCTAAAACCGATATAAAAAAATAAGTTTCCATCAAGACACAAATGACTTAAATGCCAACTAATAGTAAATGATGAAAGAAATCCCAGATAAAATGCACTTATAGCCAGCACAAATACAGTAATGATTCCGTGGGTAATATAGAATCATCCTTGATAGTTTAGGAAAACAATTTATAACAAGAGAAAAAGTTACATATAGTAAAAAAGCAAAACAAAAGAAACACAAAAATGGGCTTTGAACTAGAGATACCTGGCTTTGCTGTTTTTGAGATGAATACATTTGGGCAAGTTAATTAACCTTTCTGAGCCCATTACATTATCAATAAAATGAGGATCCCAGTATTTGAACTGCATGATTGTTTTAGGATTAATAGTTGTGTCCTAAGGCCTTTGTGACATGGCCAGTCCTCCACAATCCATATCCATCATATCATTTCCTAAAATAAATTTTATCAAAACAATGCTATACTGTCTGGGGCTGAAAGTTTGAAGAACAACCTAGGATTTCAAACAATTTGCAAACACTGAATTAGAAGATACAGGATATTGGCCATCAATATCTCTACAAATGGAGATAAAAAGGGTATAGCTGAAATTCTCTATACTCCTTATAATCTTAATTCCTAAAAGGGGAATGCTCTCCATAATAAGTACTTTAAGTGAAAAGAAAAGTCATATTAATAGGGGAGAAAAGGCCATGGATACAGAAAAGAAAAAAAAAAAGAACTTCTCCACTCTAGACTTATGTTCCACACTTTACTTTTCCCAATCCAATGCTACTTTTCCTAGGCCTGATCTATCAAGAACAAGTATTAGTTGTCTCCACAGAGCTTTGGCAAGCATTGCCAAGAATGGTGGATTATAAGACCTTGAATTAAAACTGAATAAGGAGGGCTCACTCAGCTTGAACAATATTGGAGTATAGAAGTTCTACTGATTTTTGTATAGTGATTTTGTATCCTGAAACTTTACTGCAGTTATTTATCAGTTCTATGAACCTCGACACATAGGACTTAATTAAACTAAAAAGCATTTTCATGGCAAAATAAATTATCAATAGAGTAAACAGACAACCTACAGAATGCAATATTTTCAAACTATGCATCTGTCAAGGTCTAATATCCAGACTCTATAAGAAATTAAACAAATCAATAAACAAAGAGCAAATAACGCCACTAAAAAGTGGGCAAAGGACATGAATAAACACCTCTCAAAAGAAGACACACAAGCAGCCAACAAACATGAAAAAAATGCTCGACATCACTAACCATCAGATAAATGCAAATCAAAACTACAATAAGATACCATCTCACATGAGTCAAAATGGCCATTACTAAAAAGTCAAACATAAAAAATGCTGGTGAGGTTGCAAAAAGGAATGCTTATATAATGTGGGTTATTTCAGCCACTCTGGAAAGCAGTTTGGAGATTTCTCAAAGAAATTAAAAGAGAATTACCATTCAACCCAGCAATCTGATTATTGGTATACACCCAAAGAAAAATAAATCATTCTACCAAAAAGACACATGTACCCGTATGTTCACTGCGATGCTATTCACAATAGCAAAGACATGGAATCAACCTAGGTCCCCATTAACAGTGGATTGGATTTTTAAAATGTGGTAATATACATCATGGAATACTACAAATTAATGCAGGAACAGCAAACTAAATATTGCATGTTGTCATTTATCAGTGGGAGCTAAACATTGACTACATACAGACATAAAGATGGGAACAAGAGACACTGTGGACTACTAGAGTGGGGAGGAAGTGGGGACTGTGGGTTGAAAAACTATCTATTGGGTATTATGCTTACTACCTGGGTGACAGGATCTGTACCCCAAACTTCAACATCACACAATATATCCATGTAACAAACCTGCACATGTACCCCGAATATAAAAGTTGAAATTATTTTAAAAATAAATAAAATACTAGAACTAATATGCAAATCTTGAAGAAAAATTTATCTTTTATGATTTACCAACTACTAACATTTCATGTTGTCATTTTAAATAATGCAATCATATAAATGTTCTGTCACTGTAAATCATATAAATGTTCTGTCACTGTAAATCATACCAAATGGGATCATAATTGTATCTATATCATAGTATTATTGAGATGATAAACTGAAAAAGTTGGTGAAGTCCCAGCTTAATGCCCAAGCATATTTAATACTCACTATATGTAGGTCACTATTATCATAACTGCTATTGTTAATATGAGCTTGGGCTGGAAATATAAACCCATGTTTTAAAATCTGAGTTGGTACAACAGAAAAAGAAAAAGGAATTTTTCAAAAGTAAAATAAAATTTAAAAAACAAATAATTACAGATATCAAAAACTAATTCAAAATATTGCAATCATTACTTCAATTCAGCAAATATCCTAAAATTTGTTTATAAGAGAAAATAGCCAACAATTGTGTTACAATTTTAAATATTGCATTTTTATAACAAAAAAGTAAATTTTTCTTGCTTATAAGGGCTTCTGAAATTTATTTCTTCTCTAACCATTATCAAACCAATCTTTTACAGCTGAATTAAAAACTTCTGAAAATAACATATAGAAAAGCTTAAGACATATTTAACTCTAATATTGAAAATAATAATCATCAAAAACAGATACAAATCATTGCCAATCCCAAAGGCAGTTCTGTGTCATTGGACTTTTTCTGGAAGCTTTTCACTATATCTGAGAGCTGTTTCATCTGAAGTTAGCCTTTTATCTGTAGGCCTGCTGTGCTATTTCAAACGGCCAGCAAAGGCGATGAAACTAAAACAATAAGAAATTCCTTGCCAAATGATGAATTTGTAATCTTAAAATTTGACACAAATTCTATAGTTAATAATCAAAAGCATTATGTTAATACTTAGTTTAAATTACTGATGATATAATGCACCCTACATGCAAAATTTCCTAAAGTTATTATTAAAATAGTATACCATGAATTAAAGTTATTTATATGCATGGGTATGCTTGATGTGACAGTAGGTATATATACATATGGCATAGATATTCATATGGTAAAATAGAAAATGATAGTAATTTTTATGATTCTTAGATATGTATAACTTATTAAGCATTACTATATAGCAGTCCTTGTTTTCCAAGTGTTTTCTATCCTTTATCTCATTTAATCTTCACAAAACCCCAAAAATGTAGATGCAATTATTACTTGCATTTCACAAATAAGAAACCTACACATATAGAGCTTAAGTATTGCTTAAACTCACTGACATCAGCAGTGGCAGCAATACAATTTAAGATTGATTCTGTCTGATTCCAAAGCTCATGCTCTTAACCACTAAGCATATTGCCTTTCACAAGGAGAATACAATCAATGACAGTCTAATATAAGCCAGGCACTTCACGTACTTTCTCATTTTCAAAGATGAAGAAATTCACAGAGGTTAGGTTACTTGTAAGTGCTAAAGCTCCAGAGTTCTTTCTCTATTTCCTCAGTGTTTATTACAGTATATCCAATGGACTACCCATCTCAGTCACCAGACACTATTTAAAGGGTCAGATTTTCAGCTTTAGTTCCAGATTACAGGTTTGATCCATCTTAGGCAAGGCATTTTTAAGAAGTTTCCTTGTGAGGTACTCCACAGTTTTCAATTGTGTATGTGTATGTTTCTGATAAGAAGCTATTTTTTTTACCTCAGTATCTCCTATGATAAAGCAGGATAGTTATGTCACGGGATCCTTGGGGTGATGCTTCACCAGCCAGAAACCTCTGTGGCCAGTGGCACCTTTGCCCAAGTTTTGCTCAGGTCTGCTGGGCCCACTCGGCTGGGCAGGCTGTATTTGGCTTGTGCTACTGGCCTGGATCCCATGCCTGCCAAGGGCAAGCAGAGTGGCGAGGGGTGTGTGAGTGAGCAAGCGTGGGGTCCAGCCACTGCACACAGGCAGGGAGGCTGGCTGCGGCAGGGTGGATAGCACCAGGTGCCTGCATGAGTGCTGGCTCCCTGTGAGGCTGTGGCTGGACCAGGTGTACTGTAAGCAGCTTCCACAGCTGGCATCAGAGAATGCAGTGGTGCCCAGAAGCTCGGAGATGCCAGGAACTGCAGAGCCCCAAAGAGGGTGTCACAGTGCTGGCTTGGGAAGCTTCTAGGTCTGGGCTCCCCAAAGGTCTGTAGCTCTTCTCTTCTTGTTGCCTGCAACATGGCAAGCAACAGGAGTATTTCAGCTCTGTTTGCGTTACAGCTCTTTCAGCCTCACCATTCGGCAGTTCCTGAGTTCTTGTCTCACACCCAGGAAGAATGAGGTACAGGTACAAGTGGAGGGTAGGCAAGGTGAAGAGAAGCTTTATTGAGCAATAGAACAGCTCAGAGGAGACCAACAGTGCGTAGCTCCTTTCTGTAGCGAGGATGTCCCAACAAGTGTTCAGCTCTCAGCAGAGAGGAGACCCTGGGGTGGGTAGCTCCCCTCTGCAGCTGGTCATCCTGTCATCTTTTTGAGTCTGGCTGAGTCCAAGGTTTTTATGGGCATCAGAGGAGAGGAATTACATGCTATCAGTCCATGGACAGCCATGGGCAGGCCCAGAAAAAGTACTATAAGTTCCTACTCCCGTCCACAGGGCTGGAATCCTGGCCCCTAGACTTCAGGCTAGACCACCTGGGACCCACCCTTTTCCAGCCAGGGCCTATCTGCCTCCTGGCACTGTTCATGGTGCCCAGGCTGTTCATGCGGAGGGGTACCTGCAGACCAGCACCAAGCTGCCCTCAGCACTCCGTCAGCTTCCCTCCCATGCTCATTGGTGCCCAAAGTCCTGAAGGGGCTGAGGTGCCAGGGGTTTGGCCTGTTATCACTGCCCTGAGCACACACACACCCAGCTGGAGTGAGACAGTGCCCAGGCTCAGCCTCAACTTTGCTCCAAGATTGAAGCAGGTACATACCGGGAGTAGGGAGAGGCCAAGCAGCAGAAGCAGGCACTTACAAGCCTATGGGGGTAGGGGAGGCCTTCCTGGGCTCCCAAGAGTGCAGAGATGTCTGTGTCTGCAGCAATGGCATGGGTGGCTGCAGTTGTACCCAGAGGGCAGGGCCTCTGCTTGCTCCCAGCCCCCAAGAGCACAGGAATGCCCAGATCCACAGCCATAGCTTAGGTGGCTGCAGTTGCACCCAGGGAGCATAAGATTCCAACCCTGCAAATTCAGAAGGGGTCAGAGCTTCCACCTGTTCCTGGCTCCCATTGGCTCCATGAACCATGCAGCCCCTGCTACTCCTCCCACACTACAGCCAGCATCATGGCAGTGGCCTCTCTAGATGGGATGCCTACCACTGCCATCAGTTATAGAGTGGCAAGAGAAGATGAAATTCATTTCCTAGAACATGCAATGTTACCATGCAACTCTCTCATTGATTTAAGATTCAGGACAAAAAACAGACACCTAATAAATAATACTTCTTTAAGAAATGCCTTTTAGATTTTCTGATGTTAAAGGATCAATAAGTAATATATACAGAAATTAGGATAAGAAGATGCCCACATATTTCTTGGCTTTTGTTTATGAGTTTCAGAGACCCTGAGTTTCAAACATATTTCCATTCTTCCATAGATAATCCATCCTCAAACTGTTGTTTACAAAATCAGAGAAAAGAACAAAGCCACTTTAGGATATATAACAATTGACATTTATTGTGTACTTACTAGAGGGCAGGTATCATGCTAAGCCTTGTGAACTCGGTAAATTATTATATCTGTTATACAAGCAAGAAGGCTAAAGTTTAAAGAGGTTAACTAATCTGACCAAGATCATAAAGATATTATTAGAGCTGGGATTCTAACTCAAGACTATTTGATTCCAAAGACCTGAACTATGTCAGCTCATTTCATCCACCACCAGAACCACCACCTCCTAAATCACCATTACTCCAACCACCTTTATAGTTACCACTACCACCACCATTATCACCATCACTGACATCATTGTGACCACCTCCACTATCACCACCACCACCACCATCATCACTACCACCATCCCACTTCTTGCCCTCAACCTATGTTTCTAAAGCAGTCAGTTTCCAGTGCACACTTTGGTGGTGGTAGTTGTGGTAAATAAAGGAAGTTAAAAATTGAAAATAAATATCCCCAAACTACTGAATCAGAATCATCCACAGTGGAAACTAGAAATATAAACTTTAACACATTCCTCAGGCAATTCTTATACAAAGTAAAGTGAAAGGACCACGACAATATGTAATAGGGCTTCAATTTAATTCAGTGTATTTCAATAACTAAAATACTTCAACAAACATTTTTAAGGCTATAAAAACATAAACAAAGAAGAATAAACTTACTACTTTAAGTACAGATGCAATTGCTAACTTTTTTGTATTTTGTGACAGTTGGAACAGTAGAACCTAGTGCAGTTTTCAAGCAAGTATATAGTAAGACTTGAGGTTAAAACAATTTGATTTGTAAGGAAGGAATGATTCCCAAAGTACTAATTTATCTCCATAACTTAGAACAAAGAAAGCTATGGATTTACTTTCCAAATTTTGTATTTTTACCTGCAGGTAAGGCATGTTAACGAGAGTTGGGTAAGATGTTATCTCACACTTTAATATGGCACAAAAAAACTCATATTGAGATTTTTTTCAAACTCTTCCTTCCTTACATTTATTTGCATCATATAACTACATGCCAAACCAAGTATAACCTGGGTATTTTGATACTATCATACTTCACACAAGGACATTTCAAGTAAGAAAATTTGGAAAATGATGGCAGGTGTCTACATTTTGCCATTCTCTCATTACTCTTCAAAAGTTCCCAGGTTAGTCATTTGAAACTAATTCATTAATTACTTAATGAATCGTGCACATATGCTGAAAGATACAATGGCAAGATTGCTCATTGCAGCCTTTTTTACATAAAAGAAAAAAGTTAAAATAATCTATTTGTCCCTCAGTAGAGTGGAAAACAGTGATTTATTTATATAACAGGATATTATCAGTAATTTAAATTAATAACATCTACATGTTTTACATGACTATATCTCAAAAATATTGCCTCAAAAGAGCCAACTGCAAAAGTTTATTTATAGTATGAGTCAATTCACGTAACTAATTAAATATATTAAAAAGCAATATATAATGAGTATTTAAGGACTGCACTTAAGAATAAGAAGAGTGTCAGGTGAAAAAGTGGGTAAGGTATTCAAGGCAACAGGCAAAGCCAAAATAAAGGAAGATAGGCACAGAGACAGATACCATATTCTGGAATTAGCCAGCAGTCCTCCATAGGAAATTGCTAGGAAATGAGACTGGAAAGATAGACAAGTGGCCAGACTGTGAAACATCTTGATGGCTAGGCTAAGGAATTTGGGATTAACCATATTTGAACTAAAGAAATACAAATGTCATTTCAATGAACATTGAAATGATCAGATCTATGGCTTAGGAAGATAACTGTGACTGTCAGATGGAGAAATCTGTAACAGAATGAGAAGCCTGTGCAGTAACCCAGGTAAAAGATTAAAAATGACTGTGAGAATAGAAAGAATAGCATGAATTCAAGAATAGCTGTAAAGACTAAATTCACAGGGCTTAGTGGTCAACAGAAATGAGAACACGGTCAAAGAATAAAGGAAGGAAGGAAAGAAGGAAGAAAGGAGGAAGGAAAGAAGGGAGGGAGGGAGGGAGGAAGAAAGAAGAAAAGAAAAACAAAAGAAAAGAAAAATTAAAGTTGATATCAGGATTTCTAATTTGAAATAATGTATAGGATAGAGTAGATTTAATGGGGGAAGCAGAGTTTACATTATCAGCGGGTCATTCCGAAGCTGATCTTAGTAGACTAGAAACATCCAATCCTCATAAGAAAAATGAAATTATATAAAAATTTGTTTGGATTAAGTGGTATAAAACTGATAATAAAGGTATAGCACTTGAGAAGAAAATAGGACAGGGCAGAATTCTGAGGAACTGCTATAGGCTGGCATTTAAGCAGCAGGTAAAGAAGAAAGATATATTACAGAGGACATGAACAATGATCCAGAGAGGTTAAAAAAAAAAATCAGGAAGAAGTCGTGTTTCAGAAACAAGGGAAGAAAATGTATACTTGGCAAATAGAGAAGAGACTAGCCAAATGTATTTTAAGGATCTTTTCAAACATTCTGATGGCTGAGTTTATTTTTATTAAGGTAATACTTTACAAACTCTGACCTAATTAGTCTGCAAAAATATATATACTCATGTATATTTTGGGACTCCTAAAGGCCACCTGGATGTCGCATGGATGTTATATGTTATAGTCTCATACCCAGTATATTAAAAGTTAGGCATATGTATGAAGGAATTGACTAATAATGCTTCTATTGAAGACACAATCTTGCAGAATCAAACATGGAGGTTTAGTTTGGAGAATAATAAGAAAACCAGTAATGTACTGACAAAATGTAGCTTTGACTTGCATCACCACTGATGTTCTGTTCTATTTTTATTTTTATTTTAACTTTTTCTTTGAAAGTTTATTGCGGCCGGGCGCGGTGGCTCACGCCTGTAATCCCAGCACTTTGGGAGGCCGAGGCGGGTGGATCATGAGGTCAGGAGATCGAGACCATCCTGGCTAACAAGGTGAAACCCCGTCTCTACTAAAAATACAAAAAATTAGCCGGGCGCGGTGGCGGGCGCCTGTAGTCCCAGCTACTCGGGAGGCTGAGGCAGGAGAATGGCGTGAACCCGGGAAGCGGAGCTTGCAGTGAGCCGAGATTGCGCCACTGCAGTCCGCAGTCCGGCCTGGGCAACAGAGCGAGACTCCGTCTCAAAAAAAAAAAAAAAAAGAAAGTTTATTGCATCAAGTTTCAGCATGAAGTCATTATAATGCTAATGAGGTTATACATATTAAAAGAGTTACAGTAAAGCAACTCTGCATGTACAGAAGCCAAATTTAATATATAACAAATTGGATTTATTCCCAATGTGAAGGGCTTCTCATTATAGATAATTGCTCTGAAAAGCACATTTTTTTATTATTGCTATATTCCTAACAAAGGTAAAAAGGTATCCTTTTTTAAAAAAATTGTAAGTATAATTTAAAAAAAACCCTATCCAAGAAAAATAAACTTCATTAAATTGTTGATAACATTTTTTGATGAGCAATAAAGTTTCAATCTTAAGGATTCAAATTAGAAATTATTAACATGTATTTCCTGTAATGGTATATATGCTTCACCTCTGTGGTTTCTCAGAGTGATTTTCCCCATACCTTCTCAGTGGGACAATATTGATTATCTAATAAGTGATTATAAAATAAGCCTACACATATAATTAAAATCAAATATATTTCCTAGCAGTTCCAAAAAGATTCCATAATTTTCAAATAATTATTAAAATGGAATCAATAGTGGTTGGTCATGATTTGGACATTCAGTTATTTTTCTCAAGTAGTTAATTTAAATAATCCATTCAAATGATCTATATCATGCAGTATTTCTTGAAACAGAACTTTGAAACTGTTTCTTAATCTCAATAGTGCAACTGGAGAAAGCATATAAGTAAAATGATGAGCTTTAGACTACAAAGCATTCTTTTGCAGCAGATTGAGAGCTCAAATTATGCTATTTTCTCTTACTCAGATAAATTTATTCTTGACCTTGCCTATTATTACATAAGAAACCACTGCTAAGAATTGCAGTTAACACAGCTATGAAACTTTAATATCATCTTCCCTTTTTACAAGTGGTGTGATTTTCTGTCATTACCAAGATAGCTTAGATTGGGATATGAAGGCAGATGTACTGACACATTAGATAACCATATACTGTTTAAAGGACACAGGAGTAGCTTCAAAGAAGGGGAATGAAGCTTCACAACAGGTCCCATGTCATGTCATCAATAACAGACCTGTCACACTAATGACTAAGGAAATGCAGGGAGCTGTGACAATGGGAACATTCATCTTGTTCTTCTCTGGAAAAGGTGCACCTGTATCCCACTGCACTCTGTCTTCTGCTACCTCCCACCTCCCTGACTTTTGTTCTCCATGACAGTGAATGTGATCGTGAGAATGTGGCCTATCTATCATCCTCTCATCCTGAAAGGCACCTTGACTACAGTTAATGACTGTAATAAGACCAAACAATAGATACAATACCCCAACCTCTTATTTTCAGCTTTTCTAAAAATGGACTCAATTGAGATTTTAAAAAAGGATCAAAGGATTCCACTAGAAAAGCAAATAATATTTTTGTAACATCTCACATATTTTGCTCTCCTAGTTCATGTCATATATATCTACCAATATTTAGATAGGAAATGTGACTGAAAAGCAATGAGACTGTTATTCTTGGGTGGATTATACAGGCAACAGCAATATATGGCTACATGCTTATAAACTTACATATGTAGGCCTCGTATTTACCAATAACATTTTTTAAATTTTGCACTGTGTAATAACAGTGCTTCCCAGCAATAAAACAATAATGCCTTTTAGCAACAAATTATGCATCTTGTTTTTGTGTTGCACTAGTTATTCTCCACAAAACAACTAAATGTATAGTGTAAGACTGTAAATGCACCCATATACAAAGAAATTAGAAGAGTAAAGTCAAATACATAATTTGAAAACATGCAGACATCAATCATTCAATGAATACTTATTGAGTACCCTTTTAGTGTCAGATGGCCTCTGGAGGAGTTGGGCTAAAGGAGGCTGAATCCTTGCTTTGTTACTTTGTCACCTACATGTACTTGAAAAAATTACTAAAATTCTCTGTGCTTCAAGTTCAACTCTGTAAGTGGGCATGGTAACAACATCCATCTCTTAGGATTGTTATGAGGAGAACCTAGACCAGTGGCCTCACAAAAAGAAAACCCTGAAGAATTTTTTTTATTATTGCTATATTCCTAAAAACTAAAGTGTGAAAATATATTCTTTAAAACATTAAAAAATAAAAACTCTATCCAGTAACTATTGCTGTTGCTGCTGCTGGTACTACTACTATTATTGTCATTACTATTATTTCTGTTGCTGCTGCTTCTCCTGCTATACTACATGCCAGACACTATAAGGTATTTTCAATTATTTTGATTGTCACAAAAAAAATTAAACAGAAGGTTTTCATTTCCATTTTACATGGTAAAAAACTGTCTCAAAAAAGTTAAATTTTTCACATAAACTGGTAATTCTTTTTTTTTTTTTTTTTTTTTTTTGAGATGGAGTTTCACTCTTGTTGCCCCGGCTGGAGTGCAATGGCACCATCTTGGCTAACTGCAACCTCTGCCTCCTGGGTTCAAGCGATTCTCCTGCCTCAGTCTCCTGAGTAGCTAGGATTACAAGCATGCACCACCACACCCAGCTAATTTTTGTAATTTTTTTTAGTAGAGACAGGGTTTCTCCAAGTTAGTCAGGCTGGTCTCGAACTCCCAAACTCAGGTGATCTGCCCACCTCAGCCTCCCAAAGTACTGGGATTACAGGCATGAGCCACCACGCCCGGTCACAAACTAGTAATTCTAAAGTATTTTCTTTACATCAGTATTAAGAACTCCAGGGGATGTAAAAATTAATGCAAGCTATTTATTAACAAAAACCTTCCAATACAGTAAGGAGAGTTATGTGGGTATATATCCACAAATAGCTATGACATAAGATAGGAATACAATGAAACTTTCCAGAGGTATTAAGATATATAGGGTCAAAGGAAAGGACTTTTAGGGGTGCATCTCAGGAGAACATGACTGAGTTTATTCTAAGGAGATCAGTATGCATTTAACTGCCAGGGGGAAGGAGAGCATTATCTTCTCTTGTCACACGAAGGCACGTGATAATGTTGACTGTAAGATGACAACAGAATGTAAAATTCACATTAAAATCCAAAAGAAAAGGCAGTTGGAGGCTTCTTGTTACTTCTTTCTATGTGCTGTTTTTAAAATCAGGAAATCACTGGCTTTTAGAACTTCCCCAGTTCCCTTTACGTTAGCAGCAGATTCTTGTCCTGAACCTGAGTAATGACCTACATTGTGTACAACACATCCTAATGTCTGAGAGAAAGGTACATCTGTGTTGCTTTTCCAGAAGTGAATGCATTAGAAGCATTACATTTTTATAAATAAGCCTGTAGGGAGAAAACCCTGATGCAAACTGCTAACAAGCCAACTCAAGCCACATATATGCTAAGAAAATTACAGGAAACAATGTCAGTGATTTTACAATGTCAGTTGATGTTACAAGTGTGGTGGGTAAAACTTGCATCCAATGAACAACAGCACTTAACAATTTTAAACAAAAAGTAGGTATTCCACAACAAACATTTTTGTCATCTATAGAGAATATTTATGGGTTCATGGTAACAAGTTAACAGCCATTAGAACTTTAAAAAATAAATGTTTCAATTATTACTGAAAAGATCTTTTGCCTTCACAGCAAATGGATTTAAGGAAAAATTCAAATTCATCATAATTAGATAAAAAATAAACATATATTTAACAAATATTTTAGTAACCAATGTATAAGTATTTGTTGACCTTTTCTTTGTCTAAACTGATGTAATTATTCACTCAGGGCTTGTCTTCCCAAAGCACCCAGAATCTCCCCTTCTTTCAAAAGTCTTCATTAAATTGTCAACTGAGGCTTGTAACCTCTGGCTTCAGTTATATTTTCTACCAGGATTAAATTAAAGAATATACGGCTTTATATTTTTTTTTTTCCTGCATTGGCAATGTCCCATAATTAAATATGAAAAGAATAAAAATTCAGAAACATATGTGATTTTTCTATCACATCTTATATCTTTACTCTGGTGTATAAAATATTTCTGGCATTTTGCTATATATATGTATGTATTCTAAGTGTATCTTTTTGTAAGTGGTTTATATCATTGCAATGAAATTTCTCATTTTATGTTTTAAATTTAATTTTTCTTTAAAAGATGATTTATATCACCATAAATTTAAAATGTCAAGCAGTTTATCACAAATTTACTTAAAATGTCCTTGGGATCTAACATTGACCTAAAGGGTTTAACACAAATTATGCATATTATAATGTATCCTTCAAGTCTAGACTGAAATATTCTCTGAAATGTGTTACCTGCCTTAAGCACTCACTAGTGATCTCTCCCTTCTCTGATCTTCTCTACTACTTACCATTCAAGCCTTCTTTTTTCCTCTTAACTACTCTGTGCAAGTGTATGTGTGGTCCCTCTAATCAGATCAAAAGCTCTTTTGAGGGCAAGAGTGAGAGTAATAGGTCTTTCACGTAACAGAGGTTCACACATTTTTTGAGTCATTGATGATACTGAAAAAAGAGAAGAAAAAGAGAAGAAACAAAAGCAGAAAATTTTTCAACGTATTATTTCAGGGATATTGTAAATTTTAAATGTGATTCATAATATTCAGAATAAGAGGAAGTAGAAATCTAGGTGGTATTTGGAAACCTGATACAAAAGAGCAGTAAATTGGTCAAAATAATCCAAAGTGCTAAAGCAATGGTCATGTGGGTATGTTTATTCCATGTATAATTTTCTGGAGCCCAAACTGAATTTTTCCTCACTGTTAAACAGAACAGCATGATAAAAAAAGATGGTGCTGAATCCTCTACAATCAAACCCTTAAAATATTTTCAGAGTTCTAGAATGCATGAACTCTCAAATTTCCCTAGATTCAAACAATCAATCCTTTCAACACTAGTTGCCTAAAACCACAAAGCACTGCATTGCTAT
Organism: Homo sapiens; assembly: GCF_000001405.40. Lineage (NCBI taxonomy): Eukaryota > Metazoa > Chordata > Mammalia > Primates > Hominidae > Homo > Homo sapiens. Next base: position 97,674,699 of record NC_000004.12, read on the forward strand.
TGATGACATTATTGCCAGTTTTAAAGAGATTAACCAAAGCAAGTATTCATTATTCATATTCAAAATATGTATTTTCAAATAACTTTGATCTAAGTCCTGAAATTAAAATGTTGCATAAAATTCTCACCATATTAATAATTATAATACATGTAGGGGAAACGGTACTATAAAAAAGCATTTGAAGGAAGAAATCTTTAGTTCTACCCTCTACAGTGCCTCTTACTAACTGTTATTACCTAAGGTAAAGCCATGCAATCTCTTTTGACCTCAAATGTACCAAGTATATATTGATAATATTGAAGTATACATTCTCTTTTTTTTTGAGACGAAGTTTTGCTCTTGTTGCCCAGGCTGGAGTGCAATGGTGCAACCTCGACTGACCGCATCCTCTACCTCCTGGGTTCAAGCGATTCTCCTGCCTCAGCCTCCCGAGTAGCTGGCATTACAGGCATGCACCACAATGCCCAGCTAATTGTGTATTTTTAGTAGAGATGGGGTTTCTCCATGTCGGTCAAGCTGGTCTTGAACTCCTGACCTCAGGTGATCCACCCGCCTCGGCCTCCCAAAGTGCTGGGATTACAGGCATGAGCCACCGCGCCTGGCCTGAAGTATACATTCTCCAAGATTTCTATGAAGTATAAGTTTCTATGATTATATGAATTAATTATATTTGCAAGCCTGAAACTTCATAAAAATTCAAGGCCTGCTACATTTATGAAAGCCCTGGAAATCCACCGACCTGGGGCAAAGTCCAAAAGGAAAAGAAAAGAAAAAAACTCTGTATTCCCTATCATACACAGCTTGACAGGCCTCTTTGAACTTTGAAGCAACATATTCCAAATTTGAATGCGGTGCCCTGCACTGCTTTTAAAATGGTATTCCTTGAGTGTGCCAAGAATAAGAGAAGGCTCTCCAGCTGAAATTGCAGCTCTATTTTCTTCTTTGTTCTGTTTTGTTTCCATGTGTGGGTGCATTTGTGTGTGTGTGTGTGTGTGCGCGCGCGTGCTTTATATATGAAGCCACCTTCCCTCCTGGGTTGACTTTGCACTATAGTGGCCACAAACTTAAAGACAGCATTTATCAGACTTTCTTATAGTTGGAGTTCTGGAATAGGGTCCCAACAATTAAATGTACACATGTGGGAGAGTAATAACATTGAAATACAGGCCATTATTGTATATACAGTATAGGTATATATACATATATATATAGTGTATATATATACATATATGTATATGCTATATATATAGTATATATAGTATACTATATATAGACAATATACTATATATATAAAACATATATATACTATATATATTACTAAATTTATAAATTTAGTATATATAATTACTAAAATATATATACTAAATATATACTATAGTATATAGTATATACTAAATATATACTATATATATGTAGTGTATATATATATTTTTTTGCTTAGCTCTACTGGCACACATAGTTGATACATGGAGTTTTCTGCTGTATGATTCGAGACTATTCAGAAGCTTTATGCATGTCAAACGACAGCTATGAAGTTAGTGACAGTAGCTTACCTACCAGCTATTTCAGATTCCAGTCACTAGTTTTAAAAATGTGAAAATGTGTGGCAGCAGCCTCAGCTCCTCTGCTGGACTATATCATGGTGTTTTGCAAGTTATTTCTGAAAATCCATCCTGGAGTTCCCTACATCAATTTTTCCAACAAGATAATAAGCACCTTATTCCCTGTATTAAATTAATTTTTGCCCAAACAAATTGATTTTCTTTTTCCGCATCTGAAACCTGTGTGATACACAACTATTTTTATGCTAATACTACTAAAATGCAGAAAATAGAGTTGGAAGAAAGGAAGGAAGGAAGGAAGGAAGGAAGGAAGGAAAGGAGGGAGGGAGGGAGGGAGGGGGGATGGGCAAGACTGTATTAGATTAAAAGGCAGTAAAACCCTTGCCCTGGTTTCAGTACTGCCACTAACTCATTAATATGACCTTACCAAGTCACTTAAACTTTCCAGACCTCAGTGCCTCAACTATAAAATGACAATATTGGAGGATGTATTCTCAATGGTTTCTGTGAATTCTAAAATTCTATGCCTTGATAAATTAATTAAATTTAAATCATTAGCTGCACTGCCACAAGGTTCTTGAATCCCAAGGCAAATGACCTGTTTCACTTATAACCAGAACAGACAAAAACCTGCATTTTTAAACTCTCTGATGGCTTCTCCCATATCTTAGTACTTTTATCAGAGAGTAAGAAGAGGCAGACAGTTACTCATATGAACAACTTTCTGAATTAGATAGCTATGTCAATTTAAAGCCTTAACAAATTTATAGTAGTAGTTTTTACTTTTTGTTTTTTCAAAATTAAAAGTATGAGGTAAAAAAAATTAAAGTCAATTACTGAAGCATTTTACTTAGTATAAATATTGTTCTAAAGCAATACTCCTAATGGACAGTCAGGTACTATCTGCTCATAAACCATAAAATGTTCTTTGAAACTGAAGATTGTTACCTATTCAGTAAAAACACTTTAAAAGAACTCTAAAATGGTTTGATGTATTGAACAATTGAGTAGTATGACATGGCATTTACTGTTTTTTAATAGCTCTACCATTTTCTTAGCAGGTGATGCAGAACCAATTATAGCTATTATAACAATTTAATCATGAAAAAAATGATGACTGGGTTGTAATAGTCTGACCAATTTCTGATAGTTTATAAAGCCAGATTTAATAGATGTCTGCAACACTTTTGAATGTGTACCTGTATTCTCCAAAACATATATGGCAGAGACTGCTAATTTTAATATTCCTGCTTTTAACTGGCCCCTTTACAGCTGGATGGTGGCTATGGATCTCTAAGTACTGGCCATTAGCAAGTAAAGAAAATCATTATCCAATTACAAAAATAATTTTTATGGCAAATTTGGGATTATTTCCTTCAAAAGGACAAGAGCAACCCTTTCCTTTCTCTCCCTCCTGGCATATAGAACTTAGATGTTATGTCGAGAACAACCATCTTGAACCGGAAGGGTGAAGACACATGGCCAGGCTTCCTAAATGGTGAGCTGGCTGAAGCCCATGATGCTGGTGACTTCATGGAGCCTCCATATGAGCCTTAAGCTCCCTACCTCTTGTTACAAAGAAGACATTTCTATAGTTACTTTTATCTTGATTTTATATGCAACTGAGCCTACTCTTATCCAGCATAGGTATTTTCAAGATTAGGAGATTGTTGTAGTTCTCATTCAAATTGCATGTATAAATTGTTTTAAAAAATTATGAAAAACCTATATATACATCATTAAATACTGTTCTTTGGGGAAAAAAGCCATATAATTGTTTCTTTAAATGTTTTGTAGATGTTAGTAATTATATGTGTGAACATATCAGTAAAAAAAAAAATAAATGAAATTGCTAAAAGGAAATACATGCTTCAACAAAAATATCCAAGTTCATTTTAATCATATGTATTTTAACACATGATTTAGAATTTACACTTACAGGGTTTTTTTCAGTTTTCCATTTGGGATCACTATGAAATAAGGCCAGTAATGAGCACACATAGCTAATTAATAGATGTACATTAAATTACAGATTTCTCTACTAACACAGAAGAGAAACTAAAGAAGGATCCACTTAGTAAGAATAAAATTAGCACACAAAACATTTAAAAACTATTCATATGTAAGTACAATCAAATTCAAATTATTTATTAATAGTTTAGGGTAGATATATTCAAATGTCTTCTTTTTTAAAAAGGTACCTACTGATTATAAAAAGAAAAGTATTAAACAATGTAATCAGCACTTACCATGCACCATACAGCCTAGATACTTTTTTCGTAACCCATAGTATCACAGGAATAGACACTATTATCATGCCCATTTTATTTATTTTTTATTTTTTATTTTTTGACTTCTTTTATTTTATTTTATTATTATTATACTTTAAGTTTTAGGGTACATGTGCACAATGTGCAGGTTAGTTACATATGTATACATGTGCCATGCTGGTGTGCTGCACCCATTAACTCGTCATTTAGCATTAGGTATATCTCCTAATGCTATCCCTCCACCCTCCCCCGACCCTACAACAGTCCCCAGAGTGTGATGTTCCCCTTCCTGTGTCCATGTGTTCTCATTGTTCAATTCCCACCTATGAGTGAGAATATGTGGTGTTTGGTTTCTTGTTCTTGCGATAGTTTACTGAGAATGATGATTTCCAATTTCATCCATGTCCCTACAAAGGACATGAACTCATCATTTTGTATGGCTGCATTGTATTCCATGGTGTATATGTGCCACATTTTCTTAATCCAGTCTATCATTGTTGGACATTTGGGTTGGTTCCAAGTCTTTGCTATTGTGAATAGTGCTGCAATAAACATACGTGTGCATGTGTCTTTATAACAGCATGATTTATAGTCCTTTGGGTATATACCCAGTAATGGGATGTCCGGGTCAAATGGTATTTCTAGTTCTAGATCCCTGAGGAATCGCCACACTAACTTCCACAATGGTTGAACTACTTTACAGTCCCACCAACAGTGTAAAAGTATTCCTATTTCTCCACATCCTCTCCAGCACCTGTTGTTTCCTGACTTTTTAATGATTGCCATTCTAACTGGTGTGAGATGGTATCTCATTGTGGTTTTGATTTGCATTTCTCTGATGGCCAGTAATGGTGAGCAATTTTTCATGTGTTTCTTGGCTGCATACATGTCTACCTTTGAGAAGTGTCTGTTCATGTCCTTTGCCCACTTTTTGATGGGGTTGTTTGTTTTTTTCTTGTAAATTTGTTTGAGTTCATTGTAGATTCTGGATATTAGCCCTTTGTCAGATGAGTAGGTTGCAAAAATTTTCTCCCATTTTGTAGGTTGCCTGTTCACTCTGATGGTAGTTTCTTTTGCTGTGCAGAAGCTCTTTAGTTTAACGAGATCCCATTTGTCAATTTTGGCTTTTGTTGCCATTGCTTTTGGTGTTTTAGACATGAAGTCCTTGCCCATGCCTATGTCCTGATTGGTAATGCCTAGGTTTTCTTCTAGGGTTTTTATGGTTTTAGGTCTAATGTTTAAGTCTTTAATCCATCTTGAATGAATTTTTGTATAAGGTGTAAGGAAGGGATCCAGTTTCAGCTTTCTACATATGGCTAGCCAGTTTTCCCATCACCATTTATTAAATAGGGAATCCTTTCCCCATTGCTTGTTTTTCTCAGGTTTGTCAAAGATCAGATAGTTGTAGATATGTGGCGTTATTTCTGAGGGCTCTGTTCTGTTCCATTGATTTATATCTCTGTTTTGGTACCAGTGCCATGCTGTTTTGGTTACTGTAGCCTTGTAGTATAGTTTGAAATCAGGTAGTGTGATGCCTCCAGCTTTGTTCTTTTGGCTTAGGATTGACTTGGCAATGCAGGCTCTTTTTTGGTTCCATATGAACTTGAAAGTAGTTTTTTCCAATTCTGTGAAGAAAGTCATTGGTAGCTTGATGGGGATGGCATTGAATCTGTAAATTACCTTGGGCAGTATGGCCATTTTTACGATATTGATTCTTCCTACCCATGAGCATGGAATGTTCTTCCATTTGTTTGTATCCTCTTTTATTTCATTGAGCAGTGGTTTGTAGTTCTCCTTGAAGAGGTCCTTCACATCCCTTGTAAGTTGGATTCCTAGGTATTTTATTCTCGTTGAAGCAATTGTGAATGGGAGTTCACTCATGATTTGGCTCTCTGTTTGTCTGTTTTACTGGTTTATAAGAATGCTTGTGATTTTTGTACATTGATTTTGTATCCTGAGACTTTGCTGAAGTTGCTTATCAGCTTAAGGAGATTTTGGGCTGAGACAATGGGGTTTTCTAGATATACAATCATGTCATCTGCAAACAGGGACAATTAGACTTCCTCTTTTCCTAATTGAATACCCTTTATTTCCTTCTCCTGCCTAATTGCCCTGGCCAGAACTTCCAACACTATATCATGCCCATTTTAAAGGTGAGGAATCTGGAGCTCAGTTCTCAAATTCTCTGGATATGAGTAGAGTAAGAAGAAATGGAATAGCCAGGTGGACCCCCTTTGTCTGTCTTATCAGAAAAGGTAAATTTTTAACCATTACGCTGTTACCCATGAAGACCTGAATAATAACAATATATAAAATGTGTTGCATTTATTTATGCCTTCTTCCCCTCCAAGATTATATCCTACTCAGCTAATAATAGAAAGGAAGAAACAACTAAAATAGGAATTTGACTTTAATGAATTTACCATATAAAGTTCTAATTACTTTGAAAATTTATAAAAATCTATGTTTTTATTTATGTTATTTGTGATTTTATTCCGGCACATATTTGTATTACTTATTTTTAAGCTGTTGGCATCTGCATTTCAATTCAAACTGCATATGTAGTAACACAGTGATTATTAAAACTGAATTTCCTGGTGAAATACAGATGTAAAAAGAAACCTATTAGTGATGATGAAAATTTTTTTAAAAGTGAAAGGTCTAAGAAAATAATTATTCTTAAATATAAAATACAAATTTTGAATGATATTGAGTGTTGAAATTAGTAGTAACTCTGACCTCAGAGGTGAAGAGGTTCATTTTATGTTCGATATAGAACAAGAAAAAGAAATTTACTAAAATATTTCAGGATGTGCTCTAGTTAGTACAAAACAATAGCATTTATGGGAAAAATTCTGTGCTATGGTAGGTATCAGTGAAGCCTGATTTTATAGCCATTTTCACTGCCTAAAATAAAGAAAAAAATTTTTTAAATTAATCTGTGACAGATGTCACTAGATTATCTATATATTCGTTAATTGGCACTCTACATTCAGAATTTAATTTTTTAATTCTCCATTTTTATGGTAAATGATAGCACGACAGGGGAAACTCCTTCTTGTCAATTGGAACTAATTGTATAAGCAACTCAACATTTTACAAAAGACATGACTTTTGTTTTTAATCAAATTGGTAGTCATCATATTCATTTTAGAAACCCAATCTATGTGTTAAAATAGCATTATGTGAAGATTATTTAAAATAGATTTTCTAGGTGTGGCAGAGTTGCTCTAATATTATTCATTATTGTCTATTTAATGTATTTTTATGTCCTGTTGATGTCTGTCTTTTTCTTCTGTGATGTAACAATACAATCACATAATGATCTGCACACAGCACTGTTACCAGTTTAGCATTTGCGGTGTTAGTTCTGCTGATATAATCAACTATCCAATCTGAATCAAGCAATCATTGAGGAAGAAACATTTATATCAATTACAATTGTTCTAAATGATTATTAATAATAAGCAATATTATTGAAAATGTTTAGGATCAAATCCCCAGTATCTCTGTAATATAGACATGTGTCTGCTTGATATTTGTCTATTCTGTGTATTTTTTCCCACAAGTTAACGTTAAAAGCAGAAAGTTATATGCTACCAAATCTAATGAATTATATAGGTCACAGTAAACTCTCTACTAGGCATACAAAAGATCTATTAACCTCAAAAAATATGTCATTTAAAAAAGAACACAGCCAAGAGAGTCAAGATAACATACTGTGATAGCTTAGAATATTCTATAAGATGGTCCTTTCTCATTGCTGAGATTACACCTAAGTTTCTGTTACTTTAAGTTTCTTCAAAATTAAGGTTTCTATTGCCAACTTCCATGAAACCTAAAAATAATTACAAAAATTACATCACAAAGACAACCATGTAATGTTATGTTTCTAGCTTCCTGTAACCATCTGGAATATTACTAAACTAATTCTCCAATACAGATACACTTTGCATAAGCACACAGAACTATGCCATGAATAATATCCTATTTGCAGTTTTTGACCCAAATATTTCTCTTTTACTTTCTCATTTTTAATAGGGACATAATTCATAATAGTAACAGCTAACATTTACTGTAATATATGTCCAGCACTATCCTTAGTACTTATGTATATTGACTTGGTAAATTTTAACAGTAATTATAAAGAAAGCACTATTATTATATCCATCACCATTATCAGATGGGGAAACAGAGCCATATAAACCTTAAGTAACTTGTCTAAAGTCATACAGGTTTATGTAGTGAAATTCAGATTTGAACATGGGCATCATAGTTTAAGTCCTTGGTGCTAACCATTACTCTATCATCCCTCTTAATTTTACAATAAGAAAATAAAAACTCAATTAGAAAAGAAAAGTAACTGACAGTGGTCCACAGTAGTAGGACCATGGGAAACTGGAGACTATATGATTCACTGAAAGAAGCAGATGCTATGCAGTTCCAGCTAACTGTTGTCATGTAGAAATGTATTGGGTCAGTATTTCATTTTACCCTATCTATAAGCTAGTAAGTTAACTGGTTACTATTTCATGATACTGGCAAAAAGAAAAAGAGATTCCTGGGTCAGATACGAATTAACTTTGTTACTCAAAGCACAGCAAGCAGTATGGTCAAAAGTATATTTGTATCAGTTCTCTTTTCTTGTCACATTACAATGAGCCCTTACCCAGATTTAAAGTAAGTGGTTTCTAAATGATGCATACATAGAATTACATACACAAAAGGAAGCTATTCAACAGTCATTAAAGCTTTGCATTTTATACTCCTCTAATTGCATCAATTAAGTGACATTTCCAGAGAATCATGCTTCATAAATCAATAATTTCAGATTTATTTACAATTAGCAACAATGACAAACAGCTACAGTACATTCTGCTGTAAAAGCATTACATAGATAAGGACTCTGTCCCTAGTAAATACCACTAGTGTGATTGCAATGATATCTCTCATTAACATATTTATAAAGAGTTTGGATCAGGAAAAAAATCATATGATCATCTCAATATATTCAGAAAAACATTTGACAAAACCCATATCCATTTATAACAAATCTTTCTGAAAACTAGGAATAAATGGGAAGCTCCTCAACTTGAAAAATAACATCTACAAAAAACCAAAGATAGCCTCATACTTGATGTTGAGACACGAGATGCTTTTCTCGTAAGATCAGGAACAAGAAATGAATGTCTCTTCTCACCACTAGTATTCTATATAATAGTATAAGTCCTAGTTAATACAATAAAAAAGAAAACTAAATAAAAGTATATAAATTGGGAAGGAAGAAATACAATTTTCTTTGTTGGAAAATTATATGTTGTCTATGTAGAAAATTTCAAAGAAACAAAATCTTTCTGGAACTAATAAGCATCTATAGCAGAGTTGCAGGATACAAAACATACACAAAAGTCAGTTGCTTTCCTATATAACAGCAATAAACAATTGAATTTATAAATTAAAACACAATGCCATTTATATTAGCTTGCAAAAATAGAAACATTTACCTTTAAACTTGACAAAATAGGTACAAGAGATATATGAGGGAAACTATGACACATTTATGAAATAAATCGAAGATATAAACAAAGAAATATTTCAAGTTCATGAGTAAAAACGCTTTATTAAGATGCCAATTCTTCCCAATTTGATCTATAGATACAATGCATTCCCAGTCAAAATCTCAGAAAGTTACCTGGTGGATATCAATAAACATTCTAAAGTTTGTATAGAAAGGAAAAAGATCCAGAATAGTCAACATAATACTAAAGAAGTAGTCAGAGGACTAATACTACCCTACTTCAAGTCTAACTATAAAGTATAAAGCTACAGTGATCAAGGCAGTGTGGTATCAGCTAAATAAATTAATGGAACAGAATAGGGAGCCCAGAAATAGACCAACACAAGTACAGCCAACTGATCTTTGGCAAGGGAGAAAACATTTCAGTGGAGACAGGATAATCTTTTCAACAAAGAAAAATGGTTCCGGAAAAAGTGGACATTCACACGCAAAAAATAATAAGTAAGAACCTAGACAGAGACCTTACATCTTTTACAAAAAGTAACTCAAAATGGATCGTAGACCTAAGTATAAAATACAAAACCATACAACGTTTAAATAATAATATAGGAGAAAGTCTAGGAGCAAATTTTTGCGTTTGCAATGAATATTAGATACAACACTAAAAACAACACATATAAGCAAAAATTTGATAAGTTGCTCTTCATTAAAATTAAAAACTTCTGCTCTGAGAGAAACACTATTAGGAGAATGAAGAGACAAGCCAAAAATTGGAAGAATACATTTTCAAAACATATATATTTTAAACAAAGGACTTTTATCCAAAATATACAATTTTTTAAAAATTATAAAATAGGAAAAAGATATGAACAGACACCTCACTAAAGAAGATATACAGATGGCAAGTAAGCATATAAAAAGATGCCCAAAATTATATGCCATCAGGGAATTGTAATTTTAAAACAATAATAAAATACAACTACATACCTATCAGAATGGCCAAAATCCAAGACACTGATAATAAAGATTATTGATGAGGATGTGAATCAACAGGGATCCTTTCATTGCTGATGGAAATGCAAAAGGTACAGCCACTTTAGAAGACAATCTGGCAGCGTCTTATGAAGCTAATATAGTCTTATCATATGATGCAAAAATCACACTTGTATTTACCCAAATAAGTTGAAAATTTATATAGACAAAAAACCTGCACATGAATGTTTATAAGAACTTTATTCATAATTGTCAAAATTGGAAACAACCAAGATGTCCTTCAACAGGTGAATGGATAAACTATGGAACATCCACACAATGGAGTGTTACTCAGTGATAAAATAAATGCGTTATCAAGCTATGGGAAGACATGGGGGAACATGCATATGAAGTGAAAAAAGCCAGTCTGAAAAAGCTATATACTGTGTGACTGTATGATATTCTTGAAAAAGCAAAATTACAGAGATAGTAAAAAGATCATGATTGCCAAGTGGTCAGAGGAAGGGATGCAGGCATGAATAGGTAGAGCATAGAGCTTTATTAAGGCAGTAAAACTAGTAGGTATGATACTGTATGGGAGATACAGGACATTATGTATTTGTAGAAACCCATAGAACTCTACAACACAGAGTAAACACTAATGTAAATTATGGAATTTATTTAATAATAATGTTTTAATATTGTTAATCAGTTGTAACAAAACTATCACACTACTGCAAGAATTTAATAACAGCAGAACCTGGGGTTCTAATATGAAGACTGTGCTTTCAGCAAAATATTTCTGTAAACCTAAAACTGCTCTAAAAATAATGTCCATTTTTGTAAAAAGGCAAGGAGAGCAGTCTGACTAATACAGTGTGCAACACAAAGAATAGAGAATAGTATTAGGTCAGACTATATTAAATTGTCAATATTTAACATGGTTGACCCTCAAAATTCATAATGTCATATGATTTGTATAATTGAATTGTAGATGAGGTCAGAGAACGTGGACTGTTTAGGGGCAAGAAAAAGCATGTTACTTATTTCAGATAACACCACTCAGTCTTCAAATGCACTCCTTATAAAATGGAAATCCACTAAATGTTCTCATGTCATGAACACGGTGTCCTGTCTGAAAATTATTAATGTTGGATTAAAGTTTTCTTCTCCTTTCAAGATGTATGTCTTCCAAGATGCTCCTTTCCTTTTTCTTTTTCTTTTCCTCTTTCTCTCTCTCTCTCTCTCTCTGTCTTTCATATTGGACTCAATTGTCTATTGATCCTGGAGGGCTCATTTGATTTTTTGCCCCACACCCGTAGGAAACTAAAAGTTGATTAGAAACTCTCTGGGCATGGCTAAGGCTTCTCAGCCTAATCTTGGATGTTGTGGCTTAGCCATTTCATTAGCAAAAACCTCAATGTTAACACCTTTCAGTTTGTTTTTGCTTCTTGTTTTAATTAGGGCTGTTCACTTCCTCAGAGAAGAATTTTCCGTTCTTCTGCTGGAGGTTAGAATCCTGGAATGCCAGCCTTCCAGAGGCAAACTGGGAGAAGGCTGGTATTCTCAAGTTGTAATGAGTATTCGTTCACATACTCCCCAATCTTTGAAACGTGACTCCTCCCCTTTAAATTCTGACAATGTTAAAATTATTTGTTCACAAATAATACTTTTATTTCCTGGATGATTTTAAAATCATAATTTAAAATCATTTTTTCATTAGCTAAGGATTCTGAAACCCCATTTGATAAAACATATCACGGTAGTAAATCCATTGCACTTAGTGTTATGGACTAATATTTACTTTTTCTCTAAAATTATTATTTTTTATAACTAATTTCCCAAGCGTAAATTTTCATTTTCTCTCAAATGACATAGCTAACATTTTATTTTATTTTACTAATTATTATTATTATTATTATTTTTTTTTTTGAGAGAGAGAGTGAGTCTCGCTCTGTCGCCCAGGCTGGAGTGCAGTGGCGCGATCTGGGCTCACTGCAAGCTCCGCCTCCCGGGTTCACGCCATTCTCCTGCCTCAGCCTCCCGAGTAGCTGGGACTACAGGCGCTGGCCACCACGCCTGGCTAAATTTTTTTTTTATTTTTTATTTTTAGTAGAAACGGGGTTTCACTGTGTTAGCCAGGATGGTCTCGATCTCCCGACCTCGTGATCCACCCGCCTCGGCCTCCCAAAGTGCTGGGATTACAGGCATGAGCCACCGTGCCCGGCCCTAACATTTTAATAAGCTCTCTGATTTAAGTTCAGAACCAATAGAATAAGTACAAGTGTATGCACTGAATCTTTTTTTTTTTTCTTTTTTTTGAGACAGAGTCTTACTCTGTCACCTAGGCTGGAGTGCAGTAGTGCAATCTCACCTCACTGCAACCTCGGCTCACTGCACCCTTTGCTTCCTGGGTTCAAGTGAGTCTCCTGTCTCAGCTTCCAGAATAGCTGGGATTACAGGCGCATGCCACCATGCCCAGCTAATTTTTGTATTTTTAGTAGAGACAGGGTTTCACCACGTTGGCCAAGCTGGTCTCGAACTCCTGACCCCAGGTGATCCATCAGCCTTGGCCTCCCAAAGTGCTGGGATTACAGGCATGAGCCACCACACCCAGCTCCATGCATTGAATCTTAAGATTCTCAGCCTTTTTATTCCACCTGACTGTGTGAAATGAGAGAGATTTGAGGATGAATTTACTTCTTAAAAAATTAGCTGGACAAAATTAGAACTAAAAAGGGAACTTTAGAATATATTATAATTTATATATAACATAAAAGGAAAAGAACCTGTATATGTTCTAAATTAATTTTTTGGAAGCACTTCCTTTACAGTGCTAGTTTAGTCTTCTGCATGCCATGGATGTTCAATAAAAGAATAAAATTAGAGAGTATATTAAAGGATAAAATTAAGTATTCTTAAACTCCCAAATTTTATGACTTAAATGCAATCTTCATAAATGTATATAACCGAGAAGTTGTTCAATCTTAATATTTAGTGCTTCTGAGTTTAACTTATAACATTTATTCAAACACTAGGATATAGTTTGAACAAATATTTATTTAAAACCCAAATGATGAAAATCTTTAGTAAATTTCTAAAAGTGAGTTTAGCTAGAAAATTAAGAAATCTGAAAATCTGCTTTTTTTAATGTACTACTTCTACCAAGTTATTGAGTAGCTTATACATAGGTGGAATTATAAATATTCATCAAATATCTTAAATATAATAAAGTTCAATTAGGGCAAGTTCACATTAAAGAAAATAAATGTATAAATACAAAAACATTAGATTCTTAAGAAAACAATTCAGAGTTTTTTGAAAATGATAATGATGCCAAGGTTTTTTTGTTTTGTTTTGTTTTGAGACAGAGTCTGGCTCTGTCACCCAGGCTGGAGTACAGTAGCGCAATCTCGGCTCACTGGACGCTCTGCCTCCCGGGTTCACACCATTCTCCTGCCTCAGCCTCCCAAGTAGCTGGGACTACAGGCACCCGCCACCATGCCCAGCTAATTTTTTTGTATTTTTAGTAGAGATGGGGTTTCACCATGTTAGCCAGGATGGTCTCAATCTCCTGACCTTGTGATCCACATGCCAAAGTTTTTAATAAGATCTTAGGTCTTACTTATGTCCAATAGGTATCAGATTATGTCAAAAGTTCAGGTCACATGTTTCTCTGATCTTTCAGCAGTCAAATGAAATTAGTGGATGTACAGAAATGAATATAGTAAGAATCTTATAGAATAATGAAGAAAATAAAGATTAACTATTACAGGATAAACTGACAGCAAATGTATTCATTCACCAAATAATAATTAAAAAATTATTTTCTGGTATAATAAATCTACCAATTTAAGGTCTTTCCTTCACTCTGGAAAGAGATCAGAAAGATATATACATAGCATTTTTAGAAATTAATTTAAAAATAAACTAAAACACTAATCTTTGCAACTAACCTATTTTCTGCTATAGAAATAAAATAATTTTAAACCCTATTTGTTACTTCAGTACTGAGTGCTATACTTTCTCACAAAAGAGGCTAAATAACCTCTACATACAACTGAATGTGCTGTCTGAGGTGGTTTTACTTGTCTAGTCAACTTTTTGGTCACAAAAAAGAAAATAATACAAAACTGAGAGCAAAGCACTTAAGGTTTTAAAAGAAATGATGTAAAACTTTTTGTATTTATAAAAAGCTACTTATCCTTATCTTCCTTCTCATCAAGAAACTAATAAACATAGTAAATATTTTGCTGTTTATTTTTTATAATAAACACAATAAATATTTTGACTAAATATAAAGCAGCATGTGTCACATGTAGATAAAAGTTATATTTAAAACTGTCATATATACAGGAAGTATATTTAGGAGATTTACTTCTCTCTCTCTTACTCTCTCTTAACAGTTTATTTTAATTACAAGGGGAAAATGTTGCAACAATTGATCAGGGTTGTGATACTTGCGATTTTGTATACAAAAACAATTACTAATAACTTTCAAATAGGGAAGTCGATTGACATTTTATATGACTATTAAATGGTGCATTTGCTAGAAAAGTTTTTTCTCCTCTTTGGAAGAAAACAAATGTTAATGAAAATTTAATAATAACACAAGGCACAATAGAGAGAATGAATGATATCATAATTCTAATTGTAGAAATGTTCTAAATAAACTGTTCATAATAAACAACCTTTAAGAACCATATTTAGTTTTTAATCATTTAATACTATTTAAGACACAAGTCTCTCAAAAGGAAGTCTTAACTTGAAAATTCTTCAGTTTTCATAAAAACAAATTAGAAAGATAATTAAGATTGTCTTAATTTTTTTACCTCAAAATTTTACAAGCATAGAAATCTCTAAAACAATATATATCTTCTCTCTCCATAATTTTATGTTGCATAAAATCATACTCAAAAGGAATTTTCCATTTTTCTTTTGTATTATAATTGGAAATAATTTCTCTAAACTCCTCATTAATATTTCAGAGTTCAGGGGACTGAAAACTAATTTTACACTTTAAGCATATTTAAATCAATAAAGCAGTTACTGAAGCAATATCACTTTATCTAGACCAGCACTTTCTAAATACAGCTTCCAATAATTAAAGATACAAAAGTAGCACTTTACTTTTACAAGGTGAAAACTGTCATCACCTTTTTTCTCAGTAAATTAGAGTAATTGATTTTTTTTACATTTTACTGACAACAGCTACTCAAAATGACTTATATATTTCAGACTCAGGATAATTAAGTTCAAGCTATCATATCCGAGTCAATTATCAAGAAATTAATGTTTTCCAGGACACAAAATGGACTATGTTACAAAACTGTAGGCCACTGACAACAGGAGGTAGCCAGAAGGTAGCCACTTTTAGTCCTCAGGGCAAAACCAGAAATCTATACGGGCAAATCAATACTAATATAGTACCACCAAGAGTAGGCAATAGGTCCTATGTATATAAACTGAGGACCATTCCTGATGTATAATGATTATACAAACTGATAGGGACAATCTGCTCCAAGGTCCAATATTCTTAACCAGTACTGAGAAAAGCAATCACCTAACATCTCTCTCCATAACATATTTAGCAAACAACTCACTCGGGAGAAAGAGAGTTTAGGTGTTCAAGCTTGTTTAAGCAACCCTGGTTGAATATAGGTGCTATTCATTTAGATCTGTGGCTGTTAATTTACATGATTCCATTAATATTTCTTTCTTTCAACTTCCTCTAAAGCTAAGAAAGAAAGCTGCATTAAAAAAAGAAAGAAACAGAAAGGCAAATAGCAAAACTTGGGACTCTGAAAAACTGTGAGTAGAAGAACATATTATTTTGTTGCCATACCCACTGTTCTTCAAGAGTAGAATTGTTAACCATGCACTTAAACAGGTTGAATCAATCCTCTCAGAAATGACTAGGTCAATATCAATGACAGAATCCATGAAGATGAAACATTATTGCACCCGAGTGTCAATATCCTGTAAGAACGCAATTAGTGTGACTTTTGAAATGGCAGTTAGGAGGCAGGACTAACTTGCAGCTCCCACTTGGATGGACAGAGCAGCATATGGAAACCTACATTATGAACTTTTTCTCCAAGAACTACCACAGGAAGCTATCAGGAAAACTGAGAGAATCCACAGACCCTTTGAAGGAGGTGGATTGCCACTGCAGGCTCCATGGGACAGCTGAGGAACTGTCCCATGGGACAGTAAGTCAGTTTGCTTTCTCAGCTGGGAGTCTTATGGCCTGGGGCAAGTTTTAAGCCCTGTTCACCAGCTGCCTCGAAATAAACTGTGCTGTTGTGGGGGCATGATGAAAGTAATACCAGCCTTTCAGGGTACAGGCTGCGTGGGAGCTGGGTGAGGCCTGTGGCTGTTGGCTTTCCCCCACTTCCTTGGTGACCTGTATGATGTAGCAGAGGCAGCCATAATCCCCCTGGGAACATAACTCTATTGTACTGGGAACCACAACTCCACTTCTCACAGCAGACCCAGCAAGCCCTGCCCAAGGAGAGTCTAAGCTCAGACACACCTAACCCTGCCTCCACCTGATGATCTTTCTCTACCCGCCCTGGTAGCACAAGAAAAAAGACTTAATCCCTTGAAAGTTCTATGGCCCTACCCACCACCTAACCCTAGGGCAAGCTTGAATCCTCCCTATACAACCAAAGCTGATATGCTCTTGAAATCACCAACTCCTGGCTGGAGGCAAAACGATACAAAACCAGTCCACGTAACAAGGTTTAAGGACCCTCCCTGTGTCCACTTCACTTCCTGGCTACCTCCACCGGGAGTAGGTGTTGCTATCCATGGCTGACAGACGTGAAGACGAATCATATCACAAGACTCTTTGCAGACATCCCCATTACCAGCCCAGAGCCTGGTAGCTTGACTGTGTGGTTAGATCCAGAAGAGAAATAACATGCTCTCAGAAAGCCCCATCCCTGGGGAAAGGAAAGAGCACTGCATGAAAGGAGCACCCTATGGGACAAAAAGACAATCTGAACAGCAGCCCTCAAGTCCCAGATTTTCCCTCTGATATAGTCTACCAAAATGAGAAGGAACCAGAAAAACAACTCCAGTAATATGACAAAACAAGGTTCCTTAACACTCCCAAAAGATCACACAAGCTCACCAGCAGTGGATCAAAACCAAGATGAAATTTCTGAATTGCCAGAAAAAGAATTCAGAAAGTTGACCATTAAGCTAATCAAGAAGGCATCAGAGAAAGGTGAAGCCCAGCTTAAAGAAATCAAAAAGATGATACAGGATATGAAAAAAAAAAAAAAAAAACCTCAAGTGAAATAGATAGCATAAATAAAAACCAATCACAACTTCTGGAAATGAAGGACACACATAGAGAATTGCAAAATGCACTGGAAAGTCTCAGCAATAGAATCGAACAAGAAAAAGAAAGAAATTCAGATATTCAAAGACAAGGCTTTCAAATTAACCCAATCTGAAAACAACAAAGAAAAAATAATTTTAAAAAATGTACAAAGCCTCCAAGAAGTCTGGGATTATGTTAAACAACCAAACCTAACAATAATTGGTATTCCCGAGGAAGAAGAGAAATCTAAAAGTTTAGAAAAGATATTTGAGGGAATAATCAAGGAAATCTTCCCCAGCCTTGCTAGAGATCTAGACACTCAACTACAAGAAGTTAAAAGAACATCTAGGAAATGTATTGTGAAATGATCATTGCCTAGGCACATAGTTCATCAGGTTATCTAAAGTCAAAACAAAAGTAAAAATTTAAAGAGCTGTGAGGCAAAAGCATCAGGTAACCTAAAAAAGAAAACCTATCATATTAACAGGAGATTTCTAAGCAGAAATCCTACAAGCGAGGAGGGATTGGTGTCCTATCTGTAGCCTCCTTAAACAAAACAATTATCAGCCAAGAATTTTGTATCCAGTGAAACTAAGCTTCATAAATGAAGGAAAGATACAATCTTTTTCAGACAAACAGATGCTGAGAGAATTTGCCACTACTAAGCCAGCACTACAAGAACTGATACAAGTAGCTCTAAACCTTGAAACAACTTAAAATACACCAAAATAGAATTTCCTTAAAGCACAAATCTCACATGACCAATAAAACAATAACAATGATAAAAAAAAAAAAAAGAAAGGTATTCAGGCAACAAATAGCATGATGAATAGAATAGTACCTCACATGTCAATACTAACATTGAATGTAAATGGCCTAAATGCTCCACTTAAAAGTTACAGAATGGCAGAATGAGTAAGAATTCATCAACCAAGTATCTGCTTGTGAGTATAAGGACTCACATAAACTTAAGGTAAAAGGGTAGAAAAAGGTATCCCATGCAAATCAACACCAAAACAAGCAGGAATAGCTATTCTTATATCAGACAAAACAAACCTTAAAGAAACACAGTTAAAAAAGACATACGGAAATTGTAAAATGATAAAAGGACTACTCTAAAAGGAAAATATCACAATCCTAAATATATATGCACTAACACTGGAGATCCCAAATTTATAAAACAATTACTACTAGACCAAGAAATGAGATAGACGGCAATACAATAATACTGGGGGACTTCAATACTCCACTGACAGCACTAGACAGGTCATCAAGACAGATGGACTTAAACTGTACCATACATCAAATGAACTTAACAGATATTTATACAACATTCTACCCAACAATTGCAAAATATACATTCTATTCATTAGCACATGGAACATTCTCAAAGACAGACCATATGATAGAACACAAAACAAGTTCCAAAAAAATTCAAGAAAATCAAATTATAGCAAGTACTCTCTCAGACAACAGTGGAACAAAATTGGAAATACATTCCAAAAGGAACCCTCAAAACCATGCAAATACATGGAAATTAAATAACCTGCTCCTGAATGATCATTGAGTCAACAATGAAATCAAGATGGAAATTAAAAGACTCTGAACTGAATGATAATAGTGACACAACCTATCAAAACATCTGGGATACAGCAAAAGTGGTGCTGAAAAGAAAGTTCATAGCATCAAACACCTACATCAAAAAGTCTTAAAGAGCACAAATAGACAATCTAAGGTCACACCTCAAGGAACTAGAGAAGTAAGAACAAACAAAACCCAAAGCCAGCAGAAGAAACGAAAAAACAAAATTAGAGCAGAATTGAATGAAACTGAAACAAACAAACAAACAAAAAACAAAAGATAAATCAAACAAAAGGCCAGTTCTTTGAAAAGATAAATATAATTGATAGACCATTGGTGAGATTAATCAAGAAGATAGAGGATCCAAATAAGCTCAATTAGAAATGAAATGGGAGATATTACAGCCAATACTACAGAAATACAAAAAAAATCATTCAAGGCTGCTATGAACAACTTTACATGCATAAAGAGGAGATGGATAAATTCCTGGAAATATAAGACCCTCCTAGATTAAAACAGAAAAAAAAATAGAAATGTTGAACAGATCAGTAACAAGCAGCGAGATTAAATGGTACTTGAAAAGTTACCAACAGGCCAGGTGCAGTGGCTCACGCCTGTAATCCCAGCACTTTGGGAGGCCGAGGCGGGTGGATCATGAGGTCAGGAGATCGATATCATCCTAGTTAACACGGTGAAACCCCGTCTCTATTAAAAAAAAAATACAAAAAGTTAGCTGAGTGTGGTGGCAGGCACCTGTAGTCCCAGCTACTCAGGAGGCTGAGGCAGGAGAATGGTGTGAACCCGGGAGGCAGAGCTTGCAGTGAGCCGAGATCATGCCACTGTACTCCAGCCTGGGTTACAGAGCAAGACTCTGTCACAAAAAAAAAAAAAAAAAAAAAAAAAAAAAAAAAAAAAAATTAGCAACAAAAAAAGTCCAGAGGCAGACAGATTCACAGCTGAATTCTACGAGACATTCAAAGAAGAATTAGTACCAATCTTATTGACACTATTGCAAAAGATAGAGAAAGAGGGAATCCTTCCTAAATCATTCCATGAAGCCAATGTCACCCTAATAGCAAAACCATGAAAGGACATAACAAAAAGAGAAAACTATAGACCAATGTCCCTGATGAAAATAGATGCAAAAATCCTCCAAAAAAAAAAAATAGTAGCTAGCCAAACCCAAAAGCATATAAAAAAGATAATCCACCGTGATCAAGTGGGTTTCATATCTGGGATGCAGGAATGGTTTAATATCTGCAAGTCAATATGTGTGATATACCACATAAACAGAATTAAAAACAAAAATCAGATGATCATCTCAATAGATACAGAAAATCATTTGACAAAATCCAGCATCCCTTTATGATTAAAACCCTCAGCAAAATCAGCATAGAAGGAACATACCTTAAGGTAATAAAAGCCATTTATGACAAACCCACAGCCAACATTATACTGAATGGGGAAAAGTTGAAAGCATTCTTCCTGAGAACTGGAACAAGACAAGGATGCGCACTTTCACCACTTCTATTCAACATAGTGCTGGAAGTCCTAGTCAGAGTAATTAGATAAGAGTAGGAAATTTATTTCTTCATCCAAATTGGTAAAGAGGAAGTCAAATTGTTGCTGTTCGCTGATGATATGACAGTATACCTAGAAAACCCTAAAGATTCATCCAAAAAGCCCCTAGAACTGAAAAATGAATTAAGCAAAGTTTCAGGATACTACATCAATGTACACAAATCAGTAGTCTGCTATACACCAACACTGATCAAGCTGAGAATCAAATCAGGAACACAACCCCTTTTAAAACAGATGGAAAAAAAAAAAAAGAAACTACTTAGGAATATATCTAACCAAACCAAGGAAGTGAAAGACTTCTGCAAGGAAAACTACGAAACACTGCTGAAAGTAATGAAAGACATCACAAATGGAAACACATTCCATGCCCATAGATACATAGAACCAACATTGTGAAAATGACCACACTGCCAAAGCAATCTACAAATTCAATGCAGTTCCCATCAAACTGCATTGTGTGTGGAGACTCCATCATTCTTCATAGAACTAGAAAAAAAAACCTAAATTTCATATGAAACCAAAAAAAGAGCCCACATAGCCAAAGCAAGACTAAGCAAAAAGAACAAATCTGGAGGCATTACATTACCCAACTTCAAACTATACTATAAGGCCATAGTCACCAAAACAGCATATTACTGGCATAAAAATAGGCACATAGACAAATGAAACATAATTGAACATAATTGAGAACCTAGAAATAAAGCCAAATACTTACAGTCAATTGATCTTTGACAAAGCAAACAAAAACATAAAGTGTGGAGAGGTCACCCTATTCAACAAATGGTCCTGTAATAAATTGGCAAGTCACACACAGAAGAAAACTGAATCTTCATCTCTTACCTTATAGAAAAATAAACTCAAGATGGATCAAAGTCTTGAATCTGAGACCTGAAACCATACAAATTCCAGAAGATAGCATTGGAAAAACCCTTTTAGACACTGGCTTAGGCCAAGACTTCACGACTAAGAACAGAAAAGCAAACACAATAAAAATAGAGATAAATAGATGGGACTTAATTAAACTAAAAAGTTTCTACACAGCAAAAGAAATAATCAGCAGAGTAAACACAAAACCCACAGAGTGGGAGAAAATCTTCCCAATCTATACATCTGACAATGGACTAGTATTCAGAATCTACAAGGAACTTAAAACAAGTCAGCAAGACAAAAGAAAACAATCCCATCAAAAAGTGGGCAAAGGACAAGAGCAGACAATTCTCAAGAGAAGATATACAAATACAAATAGCCAACAGACATTAAATAATGCTCAACATCACTAATTATCAGGGAAATCCAAATCAAACCCACAATGTAATACCACCTTCTCCTGCAAGAATGCCCATAATCAAAAAAATTAATTTTCTGCTCCTATAATTGAGGCATACCACCCTCAAAAAACTATTTGTAAACAGGATTGGACCTGGCCAGAAAAAATGAACATACTTGTTTGGGAAGATTGCATTGCAGAACAGGCATAGGTGCTGTGCAAGGATTCCTGTGGAATCATTATTGATTGGTCCCCTAAGGGAATGTTTAGCTTGAATTGCACCTCTCTGTCTGCATGCCACAGCCACACTATGTTCACCTGGTCTAAACAAAATGGTCAGATAGTAGAAATGGTGAGAAGTACAGCAAGACCTTATTATCTGGAAACATGGTGGTATAGTGGCACCTCAACCTCAAATAATATGGCCCACTGTGGGAGCTAAATATAAGGATTTGTGATAACTATTAATGGCTCTTAATAAGATCAAAATTTGGGAAAGAATTAAAAAGCATCTATAAGGACACTCTACAAACTTGTCTTTGGATGTTGCAAAACTAAAAGAACAAATATTAAAAGCATCCCAGGCACCCCTGACCTTAATGCCAGGAACTGGAGTGCTTGAAGGAGCTGCAGATGGCTTAGCAGCTAGTAACCCATTACAATGGATAAAAACACTTGGAGGCTCTGTGATTTCAATGATGATTGTGCTTTTAATCTCTGTTGTTTGTCTTTGTATAGTCTGCAGATGCGAATCCTGATTCCTGCGAGAAGTAGCTCACTGTGATAAAGCCACCTTTGCTTTTATTGTCTTGCAAAAACAAAAAGGGGGAACTTGTTGGGAACAGGCCCCCAAATCTGGCTATAAACTGGCCACAAAACTGGCCATAAACAAAATCCCTGCAGCACTGTGATATGCTCGTGATGGCTATGACACCCATGCTGAAGGTTGTTAGTTTACCGAAATGAGGGCAAGTAACACCTGGCCCACCCAAGGTGGAAAACTGCTTAAGGTGTTCCTAAACCACAAGCAATTGCATGAGTTATCTGTGCCTTAAGGACATGTTCCTGCTGCAGATAATTAGCCAGAACCCATCCCTTTGTTTCGGCCCATCCCTTTTCTTCTCGTGAGGAATGCTTTTAGTTAATCTATAATCTATAGAAACAATGCTTATCACTGCCTTACTGTCAATAAATACGTGGGTAAAACTCTGTTCATGGCTCTCAGCTCTGAAGGCTGCCAGCCCCCTGATTTCCCACTCCACACTCTATATTTCTTTGTGTGTGTTTTTAATTCCTCTAGCACCACTGGGTTAGGGTCTCCATGACCGATCTGGTCTCAGCAGCATCCCTTTGCCTTCAGCAAGAACCTCAGCAGGTCGTGGTTATTTTCTTGGTGGAGTGACTCAAACCTTCATTCCTGAAGGGTCTGGGCCATTTGTATTTCTGCCTGGATTGGCAGAACTGTTGGAGTTTCCCATTAAGCTTAATCACAGGGCATGGCAATACTAAGAGACGCCCTAATGGATCTCCTGTATTCCATCCATACTCTTCCTTACCACCGTTGTGGAGTAGTAGACTGATTTCATCTTGATAATCTGCATCAGTAACTCCAGCGAACACTGTAACTCCATTCTTAGCCTGTTGACTTAAAGGTAGGAGGAGCACAAAGTGTCCAGGTGGCAATCTTAACTTCCAATTTAATGGATTCATTGTTGTGTCTCCTGGTGGCAGCATTCCTCCCTCTGGAACTAAGACCTCTAGGCTAGCAAAATGTAATGTCGTGAGAACAGGAAGCAACAATGTTGCTAGTGGTCACTAAGGTTGATGATGAGTGACGCCACTTCCACTTCCACCCCTTGATTCCTGGCCCTGTGAATCCTGGCTATGGGAGAAACAATGCCATATATTGGAGGCTGATTCAGAGCATTCATGGCCTTCTGGAATACTTTGCCAGAGCCCGGCAAAGTATTGTCACCTAGTCGGCGTTGTAATTGTGACTTCAAAAGGCCATTCCACTATTCTATCAATCCAGCTGCTTCAGGATGATGGGGAACATGGTAAGACTAGTGAATTCCATGAACATGAGCCCACTGCCACACTTCTTTAGCCATAAAGTGAGTGCCTTGGTCAGAGGCAATGCTGTGTGGAATACCATGACAGTGGATAAGGCATTCTGTGAGTCCACTGATGATAGTCTTGGCAGAAGCATTGCATACAGGATAGGCAAACACATATCCAGAGTAAGTGTCTATTCCAGTGAGGACAAACCTCTGCCCTTTCAGAAGAGGTCCAATACAATCAACCTGCTACCAGGTAGTTGGCTGATCACCCTGAGGAATGTGGCTATACTGAGGGCTCAGTGTCAGTCTCTGCTGCTGGCAAATTGGGCACTCGACAGTGGCTGCAGCCAGGTCTGCCTTGGTGAGTGGAAATCCATGTTGTTGAGCCCATGCATAACCTCCATCACTGCCACCATGGCCACTTTGTTCATGGGCCCATTGGGCAATAACTGAGGTGGCTGGGGAAAGAGGCTGAGTGGTATCCACAGAATGGGTCATACTATCCAATTGATTACTAAAATGCTCCTCTGTCGAGGTCACCCATTGGTGAGCACTCACATGGGATACAAATATCTTCACAATTTTTGACCACTCAGAGAGGTCCATCCACATACCTCTTCCATAAATTTCTTTATCACCAATTTTCTTATGCTTCTTCCAAGTCCCTGACCATCCAGCCAAACCATTGGTTACAGTCCATGAATGAGTATATAATCGTACATCTGGCCATTTCTCCTTCCATGCAAAGTGCATAACCAGGTGCACTGCTCAAAGTTCTGCCCACTGAGGAGAGTTCCCTTCACTGCTGTCCTTCAAGGATGTCCTAGAAAGAGGCTGTAGTGCTGCAGCTGTCCACTTTTGGGTGGTGCCTGCTTATGATGCACAACCATCTATGAACCAGGCCCTAGTCTTCTCTTTCTCTGTCAACTAATCATAAGGAACTCCCCATGAGGCCATCAGTGCAGGCTGGAGGAGACGAGGCAGTGTGGCATCAGTGGAGACCATGGGCATTTGAGCACTTCCTCATGTAACTTACTTGTGCTTTCAGGACCTGCTTGAGCCTGATCACTTATATGCCACTTTCATTTAATGAGAGAATGCTGCTGTGCATGACCCACTTTATGGCTACATGGGTCAGAAAGCACCCAGTTAATGATAGGCAGTTGAGGTCATGTGGTGACTTGATGACCCATAGTCAAACGTTCAGTTTCTACCAAAGCCCAGTAACAGGCCAAGAGCTGTCCCTCAAAAGGAGAGTAGTTATCCACAGATGGCAGGGCCTTGCTTCAAAATCCTAGAGGTCTCTGCTGTGATTCACCTATGGGGGACTGCCAAAGGCTCCAGTCATCATCCCTATCTGCCACTGATACCACAACCAATTGGATCTGTTGAGTCATATGGCCCCAGTGGCAGAGCAGCTTGTACAGTAGCCTGGACCTGTTACAGAACCTTCTCCTGTACTGGACTCCACTCCAAAATAGCAGCCTTTTGGGTCACTCAACAAATGGGCCAGAGCAATACACCCAAATGAGGAATGTGTTGTCTCCAAAATCCCAATAGGTGCAGTAGGCATTCTGCCACTTTCTTGGTTGTAGAAGGGGTCAAATGCAGCAACTTATCCTTAACCTTAGAAGGAATATCTCAAAAGGCCCCACACCACTGGACCCCTAGAAATTTTACTGAGGGAGAAAGTCCCTGAATTTTAGTCAGATTTATTTCCCATTTTCTGGCATGCAAGTGTCTCACCAATAAGTCCAGTGTGTTTCCTACTTCTTGCTCACTGGATCTAATCAAAATAATGTCATCAGTGTAATAGACCAGTGTGATATCTTGCGGAAGTGGAAAGTGATCAGGGTCTCTCCAAATAAGATTATGACAAAAAGCCAGAAGTTGATATACCCCTGAGGTAGGACTGTAAAGGTATAATGCTGGCCTTGCCAGCTGAAGGCAAATTGCTTCTGATGGGCCTTATGGACAGGGCCTTATGCAGCTCCTGAGTCAATGGCTGCATAGCAAGTACCAGGAGATGTGTTAATTTGCTCAAATCAATGAAACCACATTTGGTACAGCAGCTGAAATTGGAGTCACCACTTGATTAAGCTTATAATAATCCACTGTCATTCTCCAAGATCCATCTGTCTTCCTCACAGGCCAAATGGGAGAGGTGAGTGGGGATGTGGTGGGAATCACCACCCCTGCATCTTTCATATCCTTGATAGTGGCACTAATCTCTGCAATCCCTCCAGGGATGCAATACTGTTTCTGATTTACTATTTTTCTAGGTAGAGGCAGCTCTTAATGCCTTCCATTTGGCCTTTCCCACCATAGTAGCCCTCACCCTACCATTCAGGGAGCCAATGTGGGGGTCCTGCCAGCTGCTAAGTATGTCTATGCCAGTTATGCATCCTGGCACTGGGAAAATGACCACAAGATGAGTCCAGGGACCCACTGGACCCACTGTAAGTCAGACCTGAGCTAAAACCCCTTTAATTATCTGACCTCCATAAGCCTCTACTTTAACTGGAGGACCACGATGACATATTGGATCCCCTGAATCAATGTCAGCTCAGAGCCAGTGTTCAGTAGTCCCCAAAATGTCTGATAATTTCCCTTTCCCCAATGCACAGTTAACCAGAGGTCTCCATGGGGAAGGATGGAAAAAAGATTAACAGCATAAATTGTTGGTAGTGTAGTGGGGTCCTCCCTCAAGGGGACCCAGCCTCCCCATCATTCAAGGGGTTCTGGATCTGTAAACCTGCTCAAGTCTGGAAATTGATTGAGGGGCCGTGATTCTGTTTTTATAATTCAAATTAGTCTTTTGTCCATTCAACCTAGAAGGTTTCTGCTTATATAAATTAAGTAGGAATGCAGTAGGCTTCCTGTCAATTTCACTTCTAGGAAAACCATGATTAATTAGCCAATCCCATAGCTCTACATAAGTCAGACTATTCTGACTGCTGCTTTGTCTCTGCTGTCCATCACAGTAGCTACGACCACTTTGCCTTTGACAGTTGAGTGCCACCACTTGGCCCCTGCCACCTTGGGATCCAATTACTCCCATTATATTTAAATTTTGTAGTTGAGTGACGGTGGTTCCCATTGTTAGATGTGACATACAGAGAAGAGCAATTACAGAGCTCTTCAAAGATGCAGGTGCTACCCTCACAAATCTGTTTCACAACGCATTGTTCAGGGGATGTCTTCTGGATCCTCCCAGCTGGGATGAGTAGGTCTAAAGACTAATCCATTCCACCTTCCCAATCTCTCTAAGCATTTGGATCCCTTCCTCTACATCAAACCAAGGGATACCACACATTTCCAGCTCACTTACAGTGGGCCATCTTTTAATCCATATTTCAGCTAACCATGCAAATAAGCTATTAGAACCTTTTTTAACTCCCTGAGCTGCAACATTAAATGCAGAGTCCCCACTTAGTGGGCCCAAATAAATAAATTCAGCTTGATCCAACTCTATGTTCCTTTCAACATTATCCCACATCCTTAATATCCATTCCCATGCCTGTTCTCCAGATTTCTGTTTATATAAGTTAAAAATTCAAGCAGTTTTTTCAAGTGTAACACACCTTCTCATGGGTCAAACCCTCAACCTCACCTCTAGTGACCCACTGGGACTTTAATCTAGTTATAGGTCTAGAAGCAAATGGGGGCATTAGGGGTGGCTCCTGAAGAGAATCAATATTATCTTTCCTGGCAACTGTCTCACCGGAGGCCATCACTGTTGCCTCAGGTAGTGCAGGGTTTATCTCCTCAGACAAAGGTGGAATGGCTGATGGCAGCATGGGTCAAGAAGGAGATATTGCCACTACTGGGGATGGTGAAGCTGTTTGTTCTGGCAAAAAAGCTTCACCAGAGTTTACAAGCTCAGTGTCCCCAGCTTCATCAGGGTCCTCCCACACATCCCCATTCAAAGTTGTAGGGTCCCATTCTTTTCCAGTCAATGCCCTCACATTAATAGTAGACACCTGGTGAGGCTGTGCCTGCACCTTTCGTTGCACGTCAGCCACTTGCATGATAAGAGCTTGTGTCTATTTTTCCACAATTTCAGGTCTTTCTCTACAGGAGGTAAGACTCTGACTCAGGGCAATCTTAGCAGATTTGAGGCTCAGTATCTGCTTCTGAGGCTGGGAGTTAGAATCCGTAGATTCATCATTTTCTTTCATTACTTTGTTCACTGAAGTTTGGAGCAACCAACCAGCTTCATTATGTTCCTTGGTTCTCCGCATATGGTCAAAAGTATTAGGTATAGACTGACTAGACTCCTTGCTTCTCACGAGCAGTGAATCAGGAGTGTCAAATGCATTTATTTTGCACAGCTCTCTAAACAGTTCATGCCAAGGACTATCAGTGTTCTCCATATTATTAGAAGTAGAATCTTAGCATTTTGGGATCTAATCATATTAAGCAGCCAACTCTAGAACCCCAAAACCAGCAAAAGAACTCGATCCTTAATATTCTGTTCTTCTAGAACCACTTGTGTTACCAAAATCTGTATTAGTCAGGGTTCTCTAGAGGGTCAGAACTAATAGGATATATATATATATCCTATTATATATATATACTATATATAATATGATATATGCTATATATATACACACACTATATATATAGTAGTATATAGTATATATATAGTATATACAGTATATAGTATATAGACTATATACTATATATAAGTCTATATACTATAATATACTATATATACTATTATATTTAGTATATATAGTATATATATACTATAAGTAGTGTATAGTATATATACTATATATATTATATATATAAATAAAACATATATAAATAAAACATATATAAAATATATATAGTATATATATTTAGTATATATAGTATATTATAGTATATATATTTAGTATATATAATATATTATCGTATATATATAGTATATTAGCATAGTATATTTGTGTGTGTGTGTATATATATGTGTGTGTGTGTGTGTGTATATATACATATATACACAGGGGGATTTATTAAGTATTAACTTACATAATCACAAGGTCCCACAATAGGCTGTCTGCAAACTGAGGAGCAAGGAGAGCCAGTCTGAGTCCCAAAACTGAAGAACTTGGGGTCTGAAGTTTGAAGGCAGAAAGCATCCAGCATGAGAGAAAGATATAGGCTGTGAGGCTAGGCTGGTCTTATCCTTTCACATTTTTCTGCCTGCTTTATATTCTAGCTGTGCTGGCAGCTGATTAGATGGTACCCACCCAGATTAACGGTGGGTCTGCCTTTCCAGCCCACTGACTCAAATGTTAATCTCCTTTGGCAACACCCTAACAGACACACCCAGGATCAGTATTTTGAATACTCTGTATCCTTCAATCCAATTAAGTTGACACTCAGTATTAACCATCACACCATGAAAGAGTTTATGAACTCCATGTAAATGATCCATAACATATAATTATCCAAATGATCTTTCTGGGCTGAAAGCTATCCTTAAGATACAAAGATCTTTCTCTATTCCGATACAAGAAATACTTCCATAATATGTCTGGATTCCTCTCAACACAACCCAGAGAAGCTCATACCTCTGACAGATATCCCAAGGCCTAATACCATAGGCTGAAAATAGATTTTCCCAGACAGAACATAATCTGTCTCCTAAAATTTAATGACCTAGGAAGTTCAAAAGAATATCAAGAGTTCTGTCAGAAGAAATGAAGGAAAAGAATTAAAGCAAGGTTGTAGTCCATGGAGAGTCAAAGACCTTTTTAGAATGGCAAATGACAGGTAGCTTTTAAACATTCACTTTGGGGTATTAAGTAATGTGCCATGACCTTTACAATTGAAGTGCAAAACCAATTTCTAAAACCAAAAGTTTAAATCACATTTTCAAATAACATAAAATACTGTCCCACAAATATTAAAACTACAGTATAAAAGTGAGTTTGTAAACGGAGAAGTTTAAGTCACATTCTAAAATATATTTCATAGCTACAATTGAAAATTTTCCACAAAGATAATATGAACATTAGAAATAAACTTAGAAACTGTCATTCAATATTAAAAAGCATATATAATTTAAATCATGCTTTATCATTCCTTATAAGAAATTTATCAAGAAAAAATATGGAAAAAATATCTTAAAATATTAAAAAATAAAACACTGGGTGTT
This sequence comes from Homo sapiens, assembly GCF_000001405.40. Lineage (NCBI taxonomy): Eukaryota > Metazoa > Chordata > Mammalia > Primates > Hominidae > Homo > Homo sapiens. The sequence goes on from NC_000004.12 coordinate 97,704,991, forward strand.
GCTTGATTTGTATTAATATATAACACTATAATTCTACTCAGAAATCTTTGGTGTCTATAGCTCAGAGGAGAAAATTAAAACTGCATATTTTGATACTCTTTGTGATCTAATACTATCTACATATCTAATATCATTCTATTCATTTTATATTTTAGTAATACTAACAATAAGCTTGACAAGGATATTCTATTCTCCAGTGCCTCTTTGACTTTGCATATACTGTTTCCTTTGCCTAGAAAAAGCCCCATTGGCTTGTCTAAGTAAAAAACTCCCATTACTCTTTTATATTTCATATAAAATACTTTCTGAAGTCTTACTCCCTTTGTCTAACTTAGAAATTCTTTTTTTTTTCTGAGATGGAGTCTCACTCTGTTACCCAGGCTGGAGTGCAGTGGCGCGATCTCGGCTCACTGCAACCTCCATCTCCCAAGTTCAAGCGATCCTCGTGTCTCTGCCTCCTAAGCAGCTGGGACAACAGGTGCACACCACCACACCTGGCTAATTTTTGTATCTTTAGTCGAGACGGGGTTTCATCATGTTGACCAGGCTGGTCTTGAACTCTGGACCTCCGATGAGTTGCCCACCTCAGCCTCCCAAAGTTCTAGGATTACAGGTGTGAGCCACTGTGCCAAGCCCAGAAATTCTTAAAGTGCTGGGATTACAGGTATGAGCCACTGCACCCAGCCCAGAAATTCTTTATCATATTGGTACCTTTCACCTATTAACAAATAATAATTATTTTATTATAATTAAAATGTTTATATATAGTTTCTCCTTACTAGATTGCTATATAGTTGAGAATAGAGATTTTTCATTTTGGACTCAGAGCCTATACCATACTAGGATCATATTTATAAACTAGAAATAAATGAATATAGCCATGAAACAAAGGTAACAGTAACAATAACATATATAACATATCTAATATATAATAACTATAACATACAGTCCCACTGTATATCAAGTACTGTAATACATGCTTTTTTCAGTATAGATTTGTACTACATTTATAGCAGTTTTTATCCTTGTATCTGAGCTATCAAGTGATCAAAGTGCAATTTATACTATTTTCTCTTGATCCAATGAATCTACCTTTTCCTTATAACTGTAGCTTTGAATTTTTCTTTTTATTCGTAAGTAGTGGAACTCTTTTTCTAACATATATAATATATAAAGCATAGGAAGGGTAGCCCTTCTGAAAAAAGCAGATAACGGAGGACTAGACACATATACTCAGCACCCCTCTGCGAGTAGCTTGTAGGGACCAATATAGAGACTAATGCCCTAAAAAATTTGTTTCCATCTCTACTTACTGTCAATCCATATGTTGAAATAGTAACCCCTAGTGTGATAGTATTAGAAAGTTGGCATTTGTAGGTCCTGAGGTAGAGCCCTCGTGAATGGAATTAGGCCCTTATAAAAGAGAGCTCCTTTGCCCTTCTGCCATGTGAGGACACAGCAAGAAGACAGCTGTCTGTGAATCAGGAAGAAGACCCTCACAAAACACTAAATTTTATCTAGGATTTTCCAGTGTTCAGAGCTATGAGAAATAAATTTTTGTTGTTTATAAACCACCCAGTCTCTGTTAGTTTGTTAAAGCAGCCAAAACCAACTCAGACATAGAGAGAATGGTAGTCTGAAAACCCAACTTGGGGCAGGATGAACATTTCCAAGAAGAATAATCCACTATATTAAATGCTGCTGCTAGGTTAAGTAAAATAAGGAGATTCGACACAGGATCTACCACAGGATTGGGCAAAAGATTTATGAAAGTCATTGATGAGCCATTTCTGTGGAGTAGTTGGGGAGAAAGCCTTACAAGTGTCAAATTAAAAGAGAATAAGAAAAGAGAAAATGGAAACGATGAATGTATGCTAGTACTTTGAGTAGCTTTTTAAAGAAGAAAATATAGAAACAGGGGTTTAATTGAAGGAAAAATGAGGCTGAGAGATATTTTTAGATGAGACGATAGGCAAAATGGTTGTATGTTTACCTGAATGATTTGGCAGAGAGGGAAAAATGAAGTAAAGGGAGAAATTGCTGGTACAACATCATTGAGCAGATGAAGCAAATGAGATCTAGCAGGTAATTAAAGGTATTAGGCTTAAGTAGGAGGCAAGACAGTTCAGCATCAGGAGGAGAAGTGGAGTAAATATGTAGAAATGTTGTTGGGGAAAGTGATGTGCTGATAGGACCATGTGGAAATGATAAGTAAAATGTCTGAAGGCATTAACTAAAAGAGAATGAGAGAGCTGGGTGCGGTGGCTTAACGCCTATAATCTCAGCACTTTGGGAGGCAAAGGCAGTTGGATTGCTTCCAGAAGTCCAAGACCAGCCTGGGCAACAGGGCAAAACCCCATCTCTGCAAAAAATACAAAAAATTAGCCAGGTATGGTGGTGCGTGCTTGTAGTTCCAGCTACCTGGGAGGCTGAGGTGGGAGAATTACTTGCGCCTAGGAGGTCAAGGCTACAGTGAACTGTGATTGTACCACTGCAGTCCAACCTGGGCAACAGAGTGAGACCCTGTCTCAAAAAAATGAAAATAATTTCAATAAATAAAAGAGGATGGAGGGAGGGGGGAAGTACTAGAGATTTTAGAACAGAGAAGGTATGAAAGAGTTACCTATGAGAGTATGAGAATAACTGCACTAGAAAGAAATATTGACTGGTGGGCATCAATAAGGGCCTTCTGAATAGTAATTGGATGAATAATAAAGATGATAGTCCAAATTATAAGTGAAAGGAAGGAAAGAAAGATTGATGTGTCAAACCTAATACCAAAGTAAAAATATAAGGTAGCATAGAATCGAAGACAAAAATAAAAACCATATCCAAATCAAAAGAAAATATAAAGGCATTAAATAAATTAACTTAGGTATGAAGAAACACTAAGCCTAACAAAATGATTTTTAAAAGTAAAGACAATTTTTAATAGATTTTACCAAACAAGCATGCAAAACATGGTAAAATTTCTTAGATAAGTTGGTAACCATTACTATACAGCAAATGAGTGGTTATGTTGAAATTCAAATACAAGTACTTTGGTCTGACTTTCTACTCTCTTAAATGTATACTCTAAGCTAATGACATAAAGGGTATTCCAAGATTGATGTCTTTGATACACGGCAAAAACAAACATGAAAGTGCAACTCATCTAAAGCTAATAATGTGAAAGGGACAAAAACACAACTAAAGCAATGTGGGAATGTTTTTTTAAAATATTACCACTTTTCATAATCAAATGGTTTTTTTGAAAAATAAAATCTAAAAAAATTCACTTGGCAAAGGAAACAACGTAAATAGACCAATAATTATTTAAGAAATATGAAAAGATATTAAAGTATTACCACACTAAAAATAATTTCTAAAAAAATTACAGATATGTATTAAATGCCTTATAATATCCAAACCAATGAAGTAAAGGGAAATATGGCTGGCACCACTCTTTGAGCAGATGAAGTAAATGAGTTCTAGCATGTAATTAGAGGTATTAGGCTTAAATAGGAAGCAAGCCTTGTTTGCCAGTGATTCTAAGAATTTTTCCTTAAGAAATAATCAAAGGTAGGAACAAAGATCAGGTATAAAACTATCTTTATAAGGCTATTTATAATAATAGAAAAATTGAAAACTTTTTAAAGATCTCTTGCTATACTCCCAATAAAATATCTTTCTGCCATTTAACATTATTTTTCTGAGAATATGCAATAGAGAAAATACTTTTTTCTATTTTTTGGTGAAAATATAATTAAATTACATATATGTTAATGCATTTTCTCATTTCTATAGTATAAAATTATTCTATCCCATAATTAAAAAAAAATACCTACTAATTCCTTCTTTAAAATTACCCAGAATGAGGGTTTTAGACAAGTGGGTAATCTGCTAACAAAAGGATTTTCTAAATAAATTCCTTTATAATTTTTTCATTTGAGTAAAATTTTCTTTTCATAAAAATATATCTTTGTTAATTTCTGTACTACTTGAATAGATATTTAAATGAAACTAATTGCACTACAGATTTTTCTCTTGTGCCTTTTCTAAATTTTCATATTCATGGGATGTTTATCAATCTAAAATGTGATGTGAAGTCTGAATTCAAACTTCTAAGTGCACAATTTTCATCAAAAGAATTTCAAAGTAATAGAAAGTAAATGACTCAATTGAATTAATTAGTACTATCACATATGCATCAATTTCTAGTTTATAAAATCACAGCCAAATAAGTGTTTTTTTTAAATACAGTTGACTTTAACAAAAAGGTGTTAATCT